>NC_000004.12:181648653-181951684 GCF_000001405.40 Homo sapiens
TCTCTCTGACTAGGGAGCATTCAGTTGTTAAGGTATATCCTGTACTAGCCACCCAAGAGAATTAATTCTAAACCTGTGTCCTTCTAATGATTAATAATTGCAGTATGTGGTGCCCATCCCAAATAACCTCTGGGTGTGTTACCAGCAAAGATGCCTGAGCCAAGACCACCCATCAGATGGAAATCTAGATCCTGCAACATTCCAGGCCTTGGAGTTTTGTGCATGAACATGGACAAGCTGAGAGGCCGTAATCAAGGACAATGCGGTGATTATAAACAACTGAGAAACTCTACTGCCATTCCTTAAAATATGTCCTCCTTCATTTGTCAGCCTTTCTCGCAGAGCTGGTGCAGGTGCACTTCAAAAAATATTGTTATTATTATTATCATTATCATTCGGGGCAGTATTCTTGTGGTTACTGTGGGCAAGGCAAGGCCTCTGCATTTAAGTATCATTTTTACCTGCCCCCACCTCCATTTCTAGCAGAGAAGGAATTTTCCAATCTTTGAAAATGCATCAGGCTGAGTATCTGAATAAATGGTTAACTGCTGCATGAAAATAGTTTTCATTGGCTCCCTATTGCCAGAGCGGAGCCTCTTTTCCGTCAGTGATTGAGGCTGGTGATTACAATGAGTAATGTGAGGCCTACAGCCATTCTCTCTCACCCGTCCATCAATACCGGTATGAGGCATATAAATGGGATCAGGTGGGAAAAAGCAATAAGTCATATTTGATGAAGGCTTCTTTCTTTTTTCTCTGAGTTGTCTTCTAAATGACTATTTCTGTATCGGCCTAGACTGGCAGTATTACATGCCATTAGGCCTTATGTGTTGACAAATTTGTATCGATATTTGTAGTTCTTGGTTTCTTGGCTAAAAGAAGCTAGAAAAAATCCTTCAGGAACTGCTAATGAAGAGTGTGGGACAGTTGGGTGTCATTATGGGAACCCAAATGGAAGGGATGTGTTCGTGTGTTTTGACTTATAAAAGGAAGGGAAAGACCTAAGAGAATCCGTGATTTGTTTGTTTTAAACTAGCACAAGTTTAGTTGATCGTGAAAAATGTATTTCGGTACCACTTGGAAAATTTCATTCATTTTCCATCACCTGGGGATAAATAATGTTTGACAGTGCAGAAACGGGGTGATATTTTATAACAATATTGTCTACAGTCTCTGTGAAGTAGAGCTGTCGTGGTACAGAGATAATGTGTCATTCCAGTCAACTTGGATCAGGAGTGGATTGTGGGTCCTTAAAAAGTTGTACCCGGAAGGAAGCGGTAGCTGAAATTGATGGAGTTCTGGTAGGAGTGATTATCACTGGCTGAGGAATTTTGACAGCAGAGACAAACTTTGTTTTGAGGAAGTCACTCATTAGACAAGTCAGGTATGGTTTTTCAGAGCATATGTGCTTCTGATTATAAGAATCTGAGAAGGTTTGATAGTAGGAAAGGAACACCTGTCACTCAAAGATTATGCATAATAGCCTCAAACTGGCGTATCACTCTGGCTGTTCTTAAATTCCCAGGATACTGCATTTTCTGAAACGGATTTACTAACAGTTACACCCAAGACCTACATGAGTCAGCAAACTTGCCTTTGTAATCCTACTCACTAGAATTTCTTAGACTTCTGTTTCAGATTGGGGTGTTCAGAACACAAATTAAAGGACAGAGCATAAACAAAGCATGTAGAAAGCCAGTATACAGACACATACCATGTGCATTGTCAATTAATACACTTGTCTGCTACATGGGGGTCATGTAGGGCTTGTTAGACCTTTTCCACTTGCCTAGAAGCTTGTACTTAGGAACACTCTTCACCCTCAACCTTATCATTTGGAGACGGGGTGTTCATCATCCGCTTCTCTTTCTTCCTATCTTAGTTGTCATGGCTACAATCACTTTGTTTCCTTGTCACCTGTAATTCTGCAGATCCCTATTAGGAGTACTTAGATAATTCTGGCTTAACATGCACAGGAAAATATGCAGTGACTCAAAGAAGCTTGCAAACCCCAGATGTCATTTCATACAATTAATTGAATAACAGGAATCTAGAACTTTCTAGAAGAGCTACAGCAGTAGAATGAGGTGTAAGAGACATTTTAGAAAAAAATACCAGCACATTTAATGCTGTTCAAGAGCAAATGCCTCATTCCTATTTTTAAAACAAAATGTTACAGAGTATTTGGAAAGTGAAAGAACAGTTGTTTTCTTTATCTTCCCTTTGAGTCCTGTTCGAATTAAAATGTATGTTTTACAAGCATTCAAAAAGGTAATGGATTGTTTCACAAGTAAAGTCCTAAGTGTTCAGCTATTTCAGCTCTTCTTTGCCATTTGGGGCTTCTTACTTGTTAGGTGATTTCTCCGGCCTTCTATCAAGCATGATGTGTGTCTTCCTGTCCATAATGCCAGAAAGGTTACTGAAATTTTGGGAATAAAAAGCATCAAAGTGAAAGAAAAATTTAACCTATGGTTGATGAGTACAGCATAAACTTTACAACGTCTATTGATGGTACTAATTTAACAATTACAAAAGCTGCATGGATATGAAAATGGAAATGGAAATTAATATAAATTAAGTTTTCCAAAACCAGCCTAAATAGGCATGTCATTTTAAACTATAATCCCATGTAATAAAAAGCAGCAGTGTATAATTCCAACCTGATGGCCGGCACGGTGGCTCACACCTGTAATCCCAACACTTTGAGAGGCCAAGGCAGATGGATCACCTGAGGTCAGGAGATCGAGACTGGCCTAAAACCCTGTCTCTACTAATAGTACAAAATTTACCTGGACATGGTGGCATGTGCCTGTAATCTCAGCTACATGGGAAGCTGAGGCAAGAGAATCACTTGAACCCAGGAGGCTGAGGTTGCAGTGAGCTGAGATCACGCCACTGCACTCCAGCCTGGGTGACAACAGTGAGACTTGGTCTCAAAAAAAAAAAAAAATTCCAACCTGATATCAACATTTTTGTAACCTATACTAGGCATAGAGAACTCTATCAGTAGGTGTGAGTAGACAGAAAAAACAAGATGCGTTACATCTAACACCAAGGAACGCTGAACTTCTTGAATTTTAAAACTAATGGGATTATGCTGGTGTTGTGTCTAATGTGATATTTGGGCCTGTTCTTCAATACCATATTACAGAATAATTCCAATACCTATTTCAGATAAAACATCCGTTCAAATAAGACTGATCTGACTGTATTGATTGCACTTCAATGGACAAAAATTGACTCTTGTACAAATGAACCCAGGACACATTAAGGTTTTCACACCAAATATTTTTGTAGTTACTATACTATAAAGATATTAGCTTTCAATTTGCCTTTTACATGTGCATCTCATACTTGTGCATCACAATAGCTTATAACATCTAATGTAAAATCATTATTTAGCATGCATTTCGTTGTTCTGTCAAATTGTTTCTCTTCTTTCAATCCCATTTCTTTTCCCTTTTGGCAAATCACAAAGCACTTTGGGGTAAAAAAAAAAAAAAAAAAAAAAATCCACTCAGGCTGTTGTAGTCTTCCATGGGACATGGTTGAAGGCAGCCCATAATTCATTCTGATATTTCTTCAAAGAAGAGGGTTTCCAAAGTCATCATTATTGGACCAATCGCAATGTTGCACTTTGCAGAAGTCAGTAAGGGCACAATAAGATATACAGGCTATTCCAAACATTTTGACTCCTTTCATCTACAAACTCTCTTCCTCCTCGCCTACACTCTCTACGAAAGTCTGTGTGTCTCCTTCTTAATCAAGACAAAGACCAAATAATGCCACTGATGCCATGTTTCTTCACTGTCCCCTCCAAAATGCTCTTCATCTTACATTTGTATTCTCATTATCAGCATAATGTTTTGCCATATAGGAAGTATGCCATGTTGACTGAAACAGCATTAATCCCACGTTGGACTGCACCTTTCCAGCATTGTCAGGAATTTCCTCCTCTTTCTCATGCATCCTGACTGTGTCCAGTGATTTCTATGGTTTTGGCTGTTTCCCCTTCATCTAGAAACATCTAGAAACTTCCAAAACTTAAAGTACAAAAGCAAACAACAATACTTTCTGTTCCGCTAACCTTAAATAATAATAATAGTAATCAATGTTTTCAAAAGTGAACTCATTCCTTTCCACCCCCAAAACAAACACATGTAATGACTAATTGCTCAGTTTCTAAAGTCTGAAGATTTGCATTTACACCGAATCTTCACACACGAACTGCTGTGACCTTTGCCAAGATCTTTAACCTCTCTAAAATTCTTCTCTTTTGTGAAATTTTTTTAAAAGATCTTACTTCATTGGATTGTTGGAAATAGCAATTCTTTCAATACATGAAATGATTTAGCATACAGCACAATATGTAATTTTGTCTCAAAAAATCGGCAGCTGACATTATAACACTTGTTCACTCTGGAGTTATTTACCCGGAGCCTACTCCATGCCAGGCACCACTCCAAACACTGGGAATGCAGCGATCGGCAGGGCTGACCAGGACCCTGCTGCATGGCACATTCAGTCTAGGCCAGGGACTCTCAGGCTTCCGCACTATTCAGTGTCATCTGAAGAGCTCCTTACAACACAGATTGCTAGGCCCCAATTCCAGACTTTTCTGATTCAGTAGGTCTGGGGCAGGATCGAAGAATCTGCGTTTCTAACAAGGTAGAAGGAGCTGCTGATGCTTCTGGTCTGGAAACCACTCTTGAGAAGTCACTGGTCCAATCCATTGTTTTGTTTTGTTTGTTTGTTTGTTTGTTTGTTTGTTTTCGAGATGGAGTCTCACTCTGTCGCCCAGGCCGGAGTGCAATGCCGCCATCTCGGCTCACTGCAACTTCCACCTCCCGGGTTCAAGCGATTCTCCTGCCTCAGTAGCTGGAACTACAGGCACCCACCACCACACCCGGCTAATTTTTGTATTTTTAGTAGAGACGGGGTTTTACCGTGTTGGCCAGGATGCTCTTGATCTCTTGACCTCGTGATCTGCCCGCCTTGGCCTCCCAAAGTGTTAGGATTACAGGCGTGCATGAGCCATAAGACCAGCTTTTTTTTTTTTTTTTTTAAATTATGGGATACAGGTGCAGAACGTGCAGGTTTGTTATATAGGTATACATGTGCCATGGTGGTTTGCTGCACCTATTCCCCCATAATCTAGGTTTTAAGCCCCACATATATTAGGTAATTGCCCTAATGCTCTCCCTCCCCTTTCCCCCGACCCAGCAACAGACCCCGGTGTGTGATGTTCCCTTCCCTGTGTCCATGCGTTCTCACAGTCTAGTGTTTTCATCATTGGTACTGTGGTCTCAATGCCTGTCCTTCTTTGGTTGGTGCCATCATATTCCCAGCCAGTCAGGCTGGCAAACTGAGTAGCATCTTTTACTCCTCCTTACACCTCCCTTACATCCTCACTGCCACCCTCTTTCAATCTCTTTCCAGGACTAATATAAGTCTAGCTAGTCTTTTTCTCCCTCAATTTTTCTTACATACTACTCCCCAAATAATAGTCCTAAAATAAAGCTCAATCATGTCAATTCTATGCGATAAACCTTCCTCTGATTCTCTACTGCCTTCAGGAAAAAAAAAAAAAAAAAAGAAGTCCAAACTCGTGGGCCCCACCATTTCAGGCTTCAGTGATTTGGCCTCATTAAGAACTCTGATGGAACAAGAAAAATGCCACAGAGTTTTGAGACATTCGAGCTTAATTGGAGGAAAAGAATATTCCAGGATGTGAAAAGGATATGTGCTCTCTGGTGTAAAATGGCATGATGTATTTATTTGGGCTACATCGACAAGTTCATTTCGGCTAAACCAATTCTTCTCAAAGAGTGGTCCTTCGCCTATAATCCCAGCACTTTGGGAGGCCGATGAGGGTGGATCACCTGAGGTCAGGAGTTCAAGACCAGCCTGGCCAACATGGTGAAACCCCGTCTCTACCAAAAATACAAAAATTAGCTGGGCATGGTGGCGGGTGCCTGTAATCCCAGCTACTCGGGAGGCTGAGGCAGGAGAACCACTTGAACCCAGGAGGCAGAGGTTGCAGTGAGCCGAGATCGCGCCACTGCACTCCAGCCCAGGCAATAAGAGTGAAACTCCATCTCAAAAAAAAAAAAAAAAAAAAGAAGTGGTCCTCAGATCACTCACCCATCTTTGTTACAAATGCAGATTCCTCGGCCTCACCCAGACTCTGAGTAGTTGGGGCTCAGCAGTCTCCATTGTTAACAGGCCCCTTCCATCCAACATGAGAAAAACTACTGGCCTAGATCAAGAAGAGGAAAGAGGTGAATGTAGAAACATAAAGTGAGACCAGGTTTAGAGATAGACAGACAACTAGCTGACTGGCCATTTTCAGGCATTTGCAATCAAGCTGTTAAAGACTTTTAAAGAGATGAGAGTAATCGACTGTGTTCATTTTGGGAGGAAGCCCTGGAACCCAGGAAGGCCAATCATGGGACGAGCTATTGCAAATCAACTTCTGGAATCATCCAAATAAGAGAAGGAAGCTGCCAGTGAGAATCAAAAGTCAAGATAATTTAGGAGTCGTTTCAGAGGGACCTTAAAAATAACATGGTGTCCAAGGAGCGTGAGAAGAGTGGAAAAGGAAGTTAGTAAGGAGTGAGGATGCTCAATTTTCTTCTGGGCTCACTAGAGAGATGATAGTGCCATTAATGAAGACATGAATTGCAGGAGAGAAAAGAGTCGGAGGCTAAGGAGAGAAGATCATTAGCAGGGTTTTGGTCATGCTGCATTTGAATTGACTCTGACACAACAAAGCTGTACTGAGGATCTATTATGCACCAGACATCATGCAAGGCAATGGGGGAAACAACTGTGAGCAAGAGAGAGCATGCCTGTTCACATAGCCTACCACCCACCTCTGGGGATCATTGATTACATAATTAAAATACTCTTGGGTCAGTGCTATGGCCACCTGCCATGTGGTTTGAGCATGTATGGCAGAGGCCCCTTTCATAGTTTGGAATGGAGGGTGACAGTCCCTGAGGACTTCCCAGGGGCGGTGTTATCCCATTAAGACCTGAAGGGTATAATGGAGTTTCAGGTAAAGGGAGAAGAACAAAAGGGAAAATGCACACCAAAAAGAAGAAACAAAATATGCAAAGTCCAGAAGCGATAAAGTACATGGTGTTTTGAGGAACTGAAAGTAAGCTTATCAGAGCTGAGGTGAAGGAATAAGATAGCAACTATTAGGGACAGATTAGTCAGAGGAGTGTCCACCCTTTAATAACCAAAATACCACAAAACAAAGGGTTTAAATATGCTAGAAGCCTCTTTGTCCCTACTGTAACAGACATGAGCAGACCGGGATGATGGTGCATTTGAGGAGGCTCTGCCATCCTTGACATGTGAGTTTCCATCTCCCTTGGCCCAAAACAGCTGATGCAGTTCTTGTCATTTCCAGCCAGAAAGATGCAAGAAGGAGACCAGTGAGCAAAGGCCCAGTCATTGTAACGGCGAGCCTTGGGGATGGCACACATCACTTCTTCTGTCACCCCATTAATCAGAACCCAGGCTTTTGAGGCACCTATCTGCAGAGGAAGATGGGAAATGGAGCCCCAGGCCAAGCTAAGACCCCACAATGTAGAAAGGATGACACAGCAGCCTGAGACAGAAGCCAGCCAAAGAAAGGGCTTGTAAGCAATAGTAAAGAGTTCACACGACCTCCTGAAATAACTACATAGATTTATGCAAGAGAGTAACATGAAGATATTTGTAGCCAGCATTGTAAATAAAGGATTAGAAGACAGCAAAACTTGAGGCAAGGAGATGAGTTAGCATAAAGGAAGTGCGATTTGGCGGTGGAAAATAGAATAGGCAATGGTGTGATGACTGACATTCAGAACACAGGAGAAGCCGCGGATGCAGATGGGCCCAGGAGAGCAGCGGGGAGGGTCTGAGTTCGGTTTTGAAAGGATCCATCAGGCAGTTTAAAATATAGGCCTAAAGGTGAAGGTGGATGTTTAGGAGACAACAAGGAATAGCTGATAATTGATGTTTACTGTGTTGTTCATCTGAGGACAATGTAAAAATAGCAGGGGTGGAGCTATGAACTGAATATTGAAGGGAGGAAGAAGACGTAATAGAAAACTGACAAAGAAGAGTTGCCAGGACAGAAACATCTCAAGGAAGCCAAGGGAGTAAGGATTTCAAGAGGAAAGGGTGCAGTAAGTCTGAGAGTAGCTAAAATAGATTTGAGCTTAGTATGTGCCAGGTAGGTTTCTAAGCTCTTTCCTGGCATCACCTTGTAGCAACACAATGACGTAATGTTTCATCTTGGCCTCTATTTTCCAGTCAAGGAACCTGAAATCCCAAAAGACTAAGTTAGTTCTTCAAGCTCACCCAGTGCAATGGGATTCAGATGCAGGCAATCAGCTCCCTGGCCTGTGCGCGTAGTAAAAAGAACGAAGAGGGAAATTACACTGTTGGGCTTGGCTGTTAAGAGTCTGTATGTGGACAGAATGAGAGCAGCTTAGAGGACCAGTGATCTTTAGATTTGCTTCTCGCAGCATTATGCCAATGAGTTGCACCAGGAAAAAATAATTCTGTGGCCACATGAATTTGGGAAACACCATAGCAATACTTTCTTTGCCTGGGAATTTATAATACACAGTAACTTAATAAATACATGAGAAGTTAATAAACAATTCAACAAGCATAAAACAACCCCATTTTAAACACAGGCAAAGGACATGAACAGACACTTTCAAAAGAAGACATACAAGTGGCCAAAAAACGTAAGAAAAAATGCTCAGCATCACTAACCATCAGAGAAATGCAAATCAAAACCCCAATAAGATACCGTCTAACACCAGTCAGAATGGCCATTATTAAAAGTCAGAAAATAACAGGTGTTGGTGATACTGTTGGTGGAAATGTGAATTAGTTCGGCCACTGCAGAAAGCACTTTGGAGGTTTCTCAAAGAACTTAAAACAGAGCTACCACTTGACCCAGCAATCCCATGACTGGGTATATATCCAAAGAAAACTAAATCTTTCCACCAAAAAGACAAGTTCATCACAGCTGTATTCACAATAGCAAAGACATGGAATCAACCTAGATGCCCATCAATGGTGAATTGGATAAAGAAAATGGGATACATAATCATCATGGAATACTATGCAACTATATATAAAAAAAAAAACAAATCTATGTCTTTTGCAGCAACGTGGGTGGAACCGGAGGCCATTATCCTAAGTGAATTAATGCAGAAACAGGAAAACAAAAATACTGTGTGTTCTCACTTACAAGCGGGAGCTAAGCGTTGGGTACACATGGACATAAAGATGGGAGAAACAGACACTGCGGACTCTAAAAGGAGGGAGGAAGGGAGGGAAGAGACAAAGGCTAAAAAACTACCTATAGGGGACTTTGTTCACTATCTCAGTGATGAGATCCATAGAAGCCCAAACGTCAGCATCATGCAATATACTCTTTATAACAAACCTGCACATGTACTCTCTGAATCTAAAAGTTGAAATTATTTTTTTAATACAGAAAAAAATACATGAGAAGGTCACTAGAAAAAAAGAATGTTGTTGTGTTTAATCCAGTGTTTTCCTAGCTTGTTTGATCATGGAGATATTTTCTTTCATACTACCTGTTAAACTAAGAAATCACATGTTGAAAAGCATTTCGGGAGATTGGCGGAACCACTGGCAAGTAAGTGAGACGGTGGTGAAATCTCACAGAATAACCGTCCATATATTTGAGGGTTGAGGAAGCACAGAGAAAGGGCAGTATCTCAAGTGTACTGGGGCAACCTGAAACTTCTCTTAGCCTCTCAACCTTCAACTCTTAAAGGAAAAGCCCCGCTGGACTCTTCTGGCACATTCATGCCCCCACTCCCACCTCCACCACAACTAATGCTAGTCATGCTTCATAGTGTGTAATTTTATTTGCTGCATACAAATCCTGTTCTAGGATCTCTGAAGGTGGGGTTTTGCTACATTGATTCTCTAGCTTCCGTAGCACGATGGAGCAGAGAGCATTTTGGAATGCTTACCATGTGCCAGGCACTTTACCTAGCACCTCACCTTCATTGTGTCATTGTATCTGTATAGTAGATAGGCTATTTAATTAGCCCACCTTGCAAATGAAAACAACAAACAAACAAGCAAAACAAAAAAGAAAACACTGAGACTTAGCTTAAAGAAACTGTCTGAAGCTCCAGCTTGTGGGAGATGGAGCCAGGACACTCTACCCCAGTTCTGTGTGACCCAAAGCGTGCGCCTATAATGATCATTCTGCCAGAGACATTCGAACCACAGCGACTCCATCTTGAGTGAGGGCTAGGAAAAGTGAGGCTGAGACTTGCTGAGCCACAGTCCCCAAAAGTTAGGTATTCCTAGGCTCTGGATGTTTGCCATTAAAGGGAACAGATTGATAACGTTTACTAAACAGACCCAGACTCAGGAATGTCCTGATATCCCAATATCGTAAGAACAGAAGCATTCCTAATTTTGCTTTAAAGATAGTAATATCAATTATTGCAAAATATAGTAATTAAGAAAATTAATCCTTTGTCACAAACCGTTGTAGCAAATCATCTCCCCATGATTTTTTGTTGCTGTTGTTATTGTTATCCTATAAATAAACAAGAATTTTACCTAGGGTGGGCCAGTTCCTCCTCTTACTTTCAGGAACTCCCTACTTTGACCGCTTTACTTTCTTAATAAACTTGCTTTCACTTTGCCCTGTCAACTCACCCTGAGTTCTTTCTTGCACAGGATCCAAGAACACTCTCTTGGGGTTTGAATCATGACCCTTTCCGGTAACAATTCTATGGGGAATAGAATTAGAGAATTATTTTCTGAGTGAGTGAAGAAACAAATATTCTTTTGGTGACTGATGACCAATTTTCTCAGTGCATTTCCATTAAAATTAAAATCTGAGACTATTTCTTCTAACTAAACATTAGTCAAAGAAGGTAAAAGGTAAATCTTCTAACAGCAGCCTGTTCTTGAATTATATAAAAGGTATTCAGGAAAAGTGCTGAAATGTACAGCTAGCTACAGAATTACCTCAAAGTAAAGAGCTGTTTTTCATCTGCTCTTGAATATTGGTTTGAAGGTTTCCCCTTAGCCCCAGATAGTAAGAGAGTCACAACTAAACAATGGTGTGTTGTCTGGGTAAACATCATATTTCCTTTTTATCACTTTTCCCCCAAGTAGTACTGTATTGAGTTACAGTCTTATTCATTGCTTCTTCTACAGAAAGACGCTTTGAAAAATTGAGGCTTTGTAGTAATATTGACAACAAAAGCAGTTGTTGTCACCTCCCATTAGCATTAATTTAATCTGTGATTCACTACAATAGACAACTAAGACGGCTCTGCGGTGGTCCTTCCTAGGAGAAAAGGGAGCTGCAGAAATAAACATCATTGCAGAAAATGTAGCGAGACAACCTTTTTGGGAATATTAAATGTAAGCTGTATAAACATTTGTTTTCTTTTTATCAGCAATGAAACGTTCCTAATTCGCTCTATACTGGGAACACCATTGTGGGGGTATGGTTAATTGGTCTTGAAAGACAATTAATATCTGTCAAGAACATGTACAACACACACAGGTTTTGCAAACAGTCAGTCCCTTTGCCCCCTTTTTCTCTGTTGTTCTGTTTATTGTGCCCAGTTAATGTGCTCTTTTGCCATAATAATCTTCAGCGAAATGGTAATTGCTCTATTGACGGCATTACTGTACATTTTTGACAGATCATTATTCATACTTAACCACTTGACCTGGAATAAATGTTAAAGCAATTACCACTGAGAGCTTTTCTATGAGAAAATTGAGGCAAAGTTTAGAGATAATCAAAATGCAAAGCTGATCATGATAGCAATTGGAAAAACGGCAAATCCTATCAAACAGATTTTTATTAGCCAAGTTGATGCCAGTAGATATTATCTGGTAATTTAGTCTTATTAAAAAGAAAATAAAGCAGCTAATTGTTTACTATTCTGGAACTTATTCCGGCTTGCAATTTGCAGCTGAAATTAGGCTTTATGTGGCTTATCTATTTTGTCACATGGAAATATGAAATCATTTGGTACAAAGCACATCTGCTTAATGCCTCTTACGTTACTGGAAAAATCCCTCATTCAATATGTTTTACACCTGTTGAGGCATTATGGATGGATGAATTTATAGCAACCAATACAAAAGCTAATATTCAGTATCTTTTTATTATATCAAATACTTTCAAAGTCTGTATTTCTAAGGATTACATTCTATCCATGCTTTATCTTACTTTGTGTTAAAACATCAACACAAATGATTTCTTTTTACATCAATCCACAATGCAACAAGCTTCTAGGAGCACCGCAGATATGTAGTTCAAGTCATTAGAAATAAGAAATCATCTAATAATTTGGACCCCAAACGTAAGTATGTAAATGGAAGAGACAATGATACATTTCTCAACAATATCAAGTGAAGATAAATAATTGTCAAATTTTGGAAGTAAAATGCTAAATCAGTTGCGTAATGGTGAAAATCTTTAATGGCATAAAAACTGACTCTAATATCGATGGGCACAATTCCTTCCTTGATCTTACTTTACACTTTGAAATCAGCACATGCTCACGAGCTGACTATTTATGAGTCAGTTAAACCCACAACTTATTCATCTCATTTCATCATTCAAGTGGCTAGTGGACCTGCACTTTCAGGTTAAAAATATTCCGAAAATTGCCTTTTCACATAATCTTTCCATACTAAGTTGAGAAATTATTTGAGACAACAAAAGTTGACTAAATTCCATTTAAATTTCTGCACAAAACACCCTGTTTCCCCTAGTTCTTAAAGGCTGTTTTGGTAAAATGTTTGGCATGATTCAGTCTTTGGACTAATATCTAGAGCAAAGCTGTAATCAAAAATGTGTACCAAAGGACACAGAAAGTCTTAAACAGATAGTGTAAAGTTTTACTAGCCCCTACTGAATTGCGAGCCCTGTTTGAAAACTATCATTAAAATTCAGAAAAATGATTACTGATATGCTGGTATGGTTATCCTGGGAGGTGCGGTTATCAGGGTCTGCTCCAGTTGGTTGCTGTAGTTTCTGTATTAATGGAGGGTTTTTTCACAGTTAATGAAAGGAGACACTTTCTTTTAATAAGTCAATAAAACAGTAAGTGGATTTTTCCCTCTTTCTTCTGCCATTTTCCTCTCCCAAAAGAGTCCTTTTGAAAGTCCAAAAGGTCCACATTTGGCAGTGAGATAAGGACTGGCAGTTTGTAAAAAAAAAAAAACCTCATTCTGCTTTTCGGTTCTTGGGCTTGACCTTATCAAATTGGCCTCATCAAATATAAGATAACAGACTCCAATTGTTTCAAAATTCTTCATGTAGTAACATCACTTCTTTTTAAGGAGCCACCCTTCACAAGTTTTCCAGATGTTCTAAAAGTAAAATAGCCAGAGAAGCAAAGAATGGCACAGGATTGAACTACTTCCCTGGCTGTGTTTGTTAGCTTTAATTTATTCATGCCAGAATGTATTTATTTAAAAATTCAAACGGAGGTTTTATCCACTCTGGCTGATATGTGAATAATTGTACTTCAGATCTAGATGCAAATCTAAATAAAGGCAAGGTGTTTTTCCAGTATTTGTATTCAATTCTGAGTTTGCATGATACACAGTACAAATGGGCTAAAATAAATGAGTTATTTTCATTTGATTTTAACAATTTGCCAAAATCCTTGGGCCTTCCTACTTTAATGTGTGTTGATTATTTCTGTTGACTGTGTTTATTATTTTAATATGATATATGTCCTGCAATCATCATATTAGTCTATTACTTCTCTGCACAGCTTTTGAAACAATGTTCCTTGTCCTTCTCTCGGATATTGGCATGTCAGGAATCTGAGTGAGAGACTTTGTTCCTGACCTCGGCCTGGGCAAAGACCCAAGACTATTCTCCCATTAGGACATTGTGTCACGATTTTAATGTATGCCTTCTACTGAATAATTTTAGTATTATGAAGACACAAAACAATTGAACCATATGTGTCTCATGTCAGCTGCATAATGAAAGGGCTGAAGTAATCCATGGAACAATAAACAACTAAGTGCTTTATATTCTTCTCCTTGAAGTGTTTTATACATTGATTCTGCCCAATTTATTCTAAGAGGGCTTTTTGCCCCATTAGGATTACTATTTTACCCTCTCCTATTTTTTATTAACACAGATAGGGTAGGAAAAGAGGATAAAGTGTTTCAACAGCTGCCAAATAGTATGGATAGGAAATGGCCATAGACCAATTAAAGATAAAAGATAAGGATAAAACTGCCATAGTTTTTATAGCTCAACGATACCCGGAGCTTAGAACTTGCACACTACTGATAAATTGGCCAGAAAGGTTTCAAGACTATTTATTTCCTGGTCTCCGTTTTTGTGTTATACTGGACCAATTTCTAATTGGTAAAATGATTTAAAAATCTATTTTTTTCTGCAGGGTCTGAAAAATTATCACTGGTCACTCATCACCTAGTTCAACAAGGGGTCTGCTTCATAGACATTTTCTGTGGTTTTGAGGCAATATTCCATGTGGAACTCTTCCTTTTCCTGTTCCTGAAGCGTCTGTGGTTTCCTTCTGGGTTTGCCTGTGCTCCAGAGGCCTTCAGTTGGTGGAAATGGAGGTTGAATCTTTCCTGGGTTCTGCACATTCCCCTATCTAACACGGGAGCAACAACTTGAATTTCTCCAAAGGCACATGGATTTGGGGCCACCGTGCACTCTAATGTTACGGTTTTTAAAATTCATCAATCTTATAGCACAAATAATTTGAAACTTCCTGTCCCTTAATGCTCATTCTCATCAATGACCTTATGTAGAGAAAAAATATTACAGTTTGGTTAACAAAAAGCTGGGTAGAATTTAACATTCTAAATGAGAGTATTAGGAAATAAATATTTTATGAATTACAGCTTTTCATCTATGCTTAAAGAGCTGTAGATTTCAGTAAGCAAAGATGGGAAGAACATCCTTCAAAATTAAAGGAAGGAGTTTTTCTGAGTGAGGTTTGACACCAGTGTCCAGTGTAGGCAAGGAATGAGGGGTGGAAAGAAACATACAAGAATGGGCAACTTTTCCTTGATTCCCATGACTTACTTCTTCCTGAGTTAGTGACTGACAGCCCTTTCTCAGCTTCCAGTGTGTGATTTCCTTGCCATGCTTTTTGAGTTATCAATGCTGCCGTCATCCTCTGCCTCCCGCAGCACCGCTTTCATCTTTGCAGATGATTCCAGTGTTTTCCTTTTATTCTTTTCTTCCACAATTATCTTTGATTACTTCAGTTGTCAGGTATATGGCATTTCAGACTCTTTGAACACATAATTCTTCATGATCATTCAGGCAGGTAGTTTAGTGGTGTGGTTAAGAGACTGGCCTCTGGAGCTCGACCATCTGGATTCCAATTCTGGCTCTACCACATACTAGCTGAATGATCCAGGCAAGCTTCTTGCCTTTTCTGTACCTCAGTTTCTTCATCTGTTAAAGGGGATAAGAATGGAACCTACTGGCTGGGCGCAGTGGCTCACTCCTGTAATCCCAGCACTTTGGGAAGCCAAGGAGGGTGGATTACTTGAGGTCAGGCATCCAAGACACCAGCCTGGTCAACATGGTGAAACCCCGTCTCCACAAAAACTATACAAATGAGCTGGGTGTCGTGGTGGTCACCTGTAATCCCAGCTACTCAGGAGGCTGAGGCAGGAGAATCACTTGAACCCAGGAGGCAGAGGTTGCAGTGGGCCCAGGTCGCACCACTGCACTCCAGCCTGGGCGACAAGAGCGAGACTCTGTCTAAAAAATAAAAAAAAACAAAACAAAAAAATAGAATCTACTGCAGAAAGCTATTGTGAGGCTTAAATGAACTGGTACATGAAAAGTGCTTAGAACGATAACCCGACGTGTTATTAGCTGCCACTGTGCACCGTCAATGTCTCTACAGACTTCCAAGCTCACTGCTCAACTTTCACTCCTGGCCAAACCTTAGCACATGGCTTCAGCAGCCAAAGATCTGAGATTCAGTGCACCCCTCTCATTCACAGCCTCCTTGCAGGACTTGGCGGCCCGTGATGTCCATGGCTTTCTCCCTCCTGAGCTACTCTTTGGGCTGTGCAAGCTGCACATTGACCCCGCTCTTGCTCTCTGCCCTCATGCTCTCCTGGAAGAACCCTGCAGGTGATGAGTGCTGCTTTACCCCCATGCTCCTTGTCAACTCCTTTAATTCTTATGCTCCCTTAAGGAATTCTTTCTTTTTTTAAAAAGCGAGATCACATTCTCACTAGTAGGTAACATTAACAGTGCCAACTATTTGATAGGGATTAACTCCTTTCATACCCAAGTCAACTTTATTAGGGGGGTGCCACTCTTATTCTAATCTCACTAAAGGAGAAATAGGCTCAGATAGATGAAGCTGCACCTCACAATGTCCCCAAGCTCGCATTCTGGCAGTTGGTGAAGTCAGGTTCCCAGACATGGCTTGTGAGGGTGCATACCCTACGCACTGAGGCACCAGAACATCATCTCTTTGATAAACTTTTTAACAGATACCTGGGACATCCTAGGTGTTAAATATCAGGTCGTTTTATCTTAAAAGTTAAACTAGTCTTTAAAATATTACTGAAGTAGTATATAAGCTGCTTGAAATGCAAATAGAACAGAAGATATAAAATGAAAACTAAGTCTTCCTCTCTTTTTCTCCTAGTCCCATTCCTTAGGAGAAATATTCTGTGCCATCCTTCCAAAATGCTCTACATATTTAAGCATCAGTACAAATATTATATGTGCATTTATATATATTGTACGTGTACATATACATGCATATATACTTGTTTGCTAATTAGAATCATCGCGTGCGTGTGTGTATACGTATATACTTTTTCATACATACGGTGTGTGTATATATACAAATTTACATGTATGTTTATATAAGTGTCTATATACAATGTGTATATATACACACACATACACACACATATATACATATACAGACATATTATGTACACATATATGTATATATACACACACGTACCCTGTTCTGCATAGAGACATAAAAATCTAGCACATTTAACACCTGGAGACAATTTTTAACCATTCTTCTTTATTTTTGGTAATAATCATTAAATTAAAAGCAAATAATAATGTTCAAGAAAGAAAAGAAGTGAAAATTTTTATTAAATTTCGTATATATCTAAAAATCTTAAAAATAGATAAAATAATGCATAAAATAAAGTAATTAATATTTTAGCTATATTGACTTTTTAAAAAAAACTTACACCTATATATTGGTCTTCCACAGTAGTGAATAGTTCTGTATTCAAGCGTTAACTTCTGTAAACTTAATCATGATTTTGCATTGTCATGTCTAATGGAAAGTATAGCTAGATTTGTTAATGTATTCTCACTTATCATTGACTCAAACACACTTTTTATTAATCTTTATTTTGAAAAGTTTCCTTCACATGAGAAAATACATACGCAAATTAAGTAAAGTCTTAACCATGAGGAAAAGTCTGGCAGAGATTCATAAAATTCCATTTAACAAAAAAAACTCAGAAAGAAATTGTTATACTGTCCATGTCTTTATTTATTTCGGATAGATTTTTAGCAGCTTCCAAATACATATGCAGTAAAAAAATTTTCCTAAAGTATCTTCACCAGAAAATGTATTATACATTTCCATTCCATTTTATAAAAACTTCCAAAATTCATGATTCAGAACTGTTCAACCTCTCCTTGAAAGCAGCTTGTGCCCCCATTCCTACAATTAAGCAGTAGATTCACAATCAACAATGATAGCACAGTGATTAGAAAGATTAAAAAGCAGAATTGGCATTTTTACTCTCAAAATGAACATATATTACTGAGTCAGAGGCCAACTCTATAACTAGAAATTCTCTGAATCAATTTCTATGTAGACTACAAGGCTTATTAAGGGGTACATAATAAAAATGTACTACTTTGAAGCTTGCATATATTATTAAAACTCAACAGTAGCTGCAGCAATTGTTTCAAACTGAGACCAAAAATTTTTTTTTTCTGAAAGAAGTATTTGATCACTGACATTGTTAACAACTGCCATTGCACAGTGATAATAAAAAGAATACTGGATTTAGTAAGTTTCCTTACTGTTTTGCAATACTCTACAGATAACACATCCCCTGGCTACCTGCACCTGGGGCAGACATTCCCATCGCTCTGCCCTTGGCTCATCAAACGCTCCTGCACTAGTCCCATTTCATGAAATGCTACAGAGACGTTTTCATATCAGCACATATAAGTCTATCTCATTCATGACTGTATCATATCTCAGTGTACAGATGCAGACATACTATCATACTTTGACAAATGCTAACATTGTTATGCTTACAAACAATCTTGTAATGTACATTCTTACACATGCATTTTTGTACAGAATTATAGCTGTATGGGATCAAAACTTTTAATTTTGCTTCTTCCTAGATCCCATATTCTTCTCCATAAGTCCCACTACACAAAATGCTCCTCATTGTCTACCTCTGTGCCCTCATCAGGACATCACTGATGAGGTATCCGTCCATTAATTCCTACTTTCAGCCTCTTAGGTTCTGCTCTTCCCTTAATGTCTTCTAATTCTGTCCCATCCTGCACATCACTTCCAGACTGGTCATCCAAAACAGACCTTTCTTCATGTTATTCCTCTGTTCAAGAACCTACCACTACTGCTGTTTGTTTATAACAATGGCTCGCAAACCATCTGCTATGGTTTGAATGCATCCCCCAAAAAGCATGTGTTGGAGACTTAATCCCCAATGCAACCATGTAAGAGGTGGGACCATTAAAAAGTGGTTTGGCCACAAAGCCTCTGCCCTCAAGTTGGATTAATGCTGTGATCTCAGGAGTGAGTTTGTTATGGAGGGGAGTGGATTTCTTATAAAAGGATGAGTTCTCCCACCCTCACTTTCTCTTGCCCTTTCACCTTCTACCATGGCATGATGCAGCAAGAAGGCCCTCACCAGTTGCCAGTCCCTCAATCTTGGACTTCTCAGCCTCCAGAACCAAGAGCCAATACATTTATTTTCATTATAAATCACCCAGTCTTAGGTACTTTGTTATAGCCTCACAGAATGGGCTAAGACACTGTCCTTTACAGAGAGAACTCTGGAAATCCTGAAGGTGGCTGAGGACCTGTCATAAGGGCACTGAGGTATGAGACAGGTGGGTCAAGTAGTAACCACTTGTCCTCTGTTCACTTTCACCACTTACCTCTTCTACCAGGGCAATTTTACTGATGTTGGTCTTATATAGAGAGCTTCCACTTAATGTTTCACTTGACGAAATAGTTCTACTGAGAAACTGTGTGTGTGTATGCGCTAGAACATAAGCACCATGAAGGCAAGAATTTTTATCTGTATGAGAATTTCATTCTGGGCCCAATGCATCCCAAGTGCCTAAAACAGTGCCTGGCATAGAGTAAATGCTCAAATATTTATTGGATGGATGAATATATGAATATGAATGTGAAGAAGTACACATAAGCACACACATACAATGTGTTCAAATATAACGTCCACAGTTGTCTGTCTGGCTTTCATGTTCCTCCAACGTTGTTTCTACCCTATCACTAGGCTTACTTCCCACTAATTCTACTGATCTAAAATTGAATCAGTCCTCTGCATGCTCCAGTTTTATTCCTGTATTAGTTTACTACAGATGCCATAGCAAAATGTCACAAATCCAGTGGTTTAAAGAACATAAATGTATTGTTTCAGAGTTCTGGAGGCCAGAAGTCTGAGGTCAAGGTGCAGGCAGGGCCATGCTCCATCCAAAGGTGCTGGGGAAGCTGCTGCTACGGGTCTCTCTCCTAGCTTCCAGTGGTTCCTTTGCTTGTGGCAGCACAACTCTTAATATTTACATAGTGTCCTTCTTGTAGGTGTGTCTGTGCCCAAATGTCCCCTTTTTCTAAGGATGCCAGGAATGTTGTACTAGGGACCCACTCTACTCTAGAATGACCTCATCTCAACTACCTGCAACAACCTTACTTGCAAATAAGGTTCCATTCTAAGGTGCTGGGGGTTAGAACTTCAACATATAAATTTTGGAGTAACACAATCCAACCCACAAGCATTCCTACTCCTCCGCCTTTGCCCTTGCTGCTCCTTCTCCCTGGAATGTCCTGCTCTGCCTTCTCCTTATCTCTTATTCGAAAACGTCAACTTTCATAATATCAGAAAGTTTAACTTAACTTACACCTCACTAGCTGGACACATTTTCATTTTGTTCCTTCTCCTTGATAGCAAGGTCCTTGAAAATGGAATCATAGATAGATAGAGAATATTCTCTGTTACCTAGTGGAGTGTTTGAAGCAAAATAACCTCCAATCATAGGTCATTAGTAGTAACTCAGGCTTCCCCTCAATTTGCAGCATTGTCAGGAACAAAGACAATATCTGAAAAAAAATTACCAGCAATAATTGAGCCCTGTTTAGATAACAAAGCTTAAATCCCTCAACTTGCCAAGAATATTTGGTAACAATAATAGTTAAGATTTCTTGAAGACTCACTACATGTGGGACACTGCTGTAAATTCATTACATACTAATGCATTTAATCTTCACCACAACCCAGGGAGATAGTATAATTATCATCCACCTTTATTTGATGAAGGGATTCCCAGAGAGGTTATGTAACTTACTGAAGCTCCTACACAACTAAGGATTTCTTGGGAGTTGGACCAAGACTGTTTGGCTCCAGAGACCATGTACTCCTAATTATTCCTCTAAATTCCCTGCCTTTTAAGGAAATACACAATATACCCCCATGTCATACAGCTTATGTGGGGCATTCTTTGTATAGAGCTTTACTAGATATAATGGAGAAGCTGAGTTAGGGTTCTTAGCAAGGAGGGTTTCTTCCCCTTCTTCCCTCCTCGGTAATTTCCCAGTGTTACCCCATTCTGACTTGAGAATCACTTTTGCTAGACCAGATACCCCCAGCGTATCAGCACAGAGGAACCTACAAGAACTGATTGCTTCTCTGCCCCCTTTCTAACTTGCAAACCTGGGATGTCTATCTAGTCCTGACACACCTGGCTGCCTGTTCAGTGGATTCATCTGACCTTGACTTTGGGGTCCACCGATGAAGCCCACTCTGTTTAAGAATGTTATGAGTGTGTTGAAATCCTTGTTCGATGGGACCTCTAGGGAGAACTTCGGTGTGTATCAGCCTGCTGAAACATTCCAGCACATCAGCAACAGGTTGAAAGCTGGTGTAGAAAGAATGTAAAAGATGGCTTTCTTAGCAGGCTATTAATAAAACACATCTTATGATTATTCCGTTAAAGGGCAGTTTACAATTTCTAATTTTAGCTATGAAATTTTATTTTCATAGATATACTTTTTATCTCCAAAAGTATATCTTAGCCAAGAAAAAATGTAGAAGATAAACAGCTTATAATTTGACTTCTAGAAATTGATCTGTACACTCAAGGTAAATGGATTGCAAGTATTGATTAATACTTTGGAATGAATACCATTTCATAATTTTTAATTAACCACTAGGTAATATTTAATGGAAACTGCATAGTGCCATAGATATGAATTTGAAAAATGAGGAGGTAAAAGGGTCCGTCCCTTAGTCCCATTGTGGTAAAAGTAATTGCCGAGAGTGACCGGTTTGTAACCGTGTTTTCTTCTCTGGTAATTCTAGGTTATTAATGTCCCAAAGCACAAAGTGATACTGCTGTATTAATTCTCTTGGCCTCGAAATGATCTACAGCACAATTTAAGAACCATGCATCTTGTCATCACTTAAAATTGTTTTTAACCCAATGAAAGATAGAAAAAAAGGCAGTGAATCTTGTGGAACTAGAGAAGAAATTCACCCATATATGTGATCTTTTGAAAATACTAGCAATATTAAGTAATACTAGTTTTGCTGTAGACACAAGGCACTGAAGTTAAGAGGGAAAAAATGTGTACTTGGTTGTAGGGCATTCAACACTGTAGGTATTACATCAGCAAGTAGCATTTGGGTAGAAATGGAAACAATGAAGGTACAGTCTTCACATAGTGAACTATTAGAAGTACTGTGTCTGTCGCAGGAGGAACCCAGAATTTAAATGAACCATTTATGACTCAGCTGCCCTAGGGCAAGCACAAGATTCATTAATAATGCAGTGTTTATTTGAAATATTTTATTATAACGCACATTTATTACAAAAAAATCTAAACAGCAGAAAAAAGCCAGCATTGCACAGGTTCGGCATTCTGGACAAGTTATTTTCAAAATGGGATTCTTGGCAAATTATATCATTTCTTTCAATACTTCACCTGTGACACTATAAAGAATACATATTTATTTAAGTAGTGGCATTATACACTGCTGCTTGTGTTGTACATAATTTATAGAAAATGATCTACCAACATGGATAGGTAATGTTCCCCGTGAAAGTAAACGGTTAGAATTAGAAAGTGATGAAGAGCTCTGAGAGTTGCCTAATATGAGGTGGAGTAAATTAGACTCCTTAACAAGTGAGTTCATGTTTTCCAAAAATTATGGTCAACTTACCTCCTATTATAAATATGAGAGCAATTATTGCTAAAGTTTGTCATGAATAAATTGACCCATATATTAAATACACATAAAGTAATATGAGAACGCTGTTATATTTACTCCTACAGGAGTAAATATCTGTACCAGCTGTATTTACTGTCGCAGAGTACTGCAGAAAGTTTCAGATCATCTGGATCTCTCTGCAGTAAATGGGCAGAGTGTGATCTTGAGAGCAAACATACCTAAATAACTCCTGGCTTAGCCTCTTAATACTCGTATGATTTAGGGCAAGTTTGTTCACCTGTCTGAGTTTCTGTTTTTTCACTTGAACAATAATACCTGCCTCACAGAGTCAGTAGCAGAATGAAATAAGAGAAACCATGTAAAGCACCTTAGCACTTGGTGCTCGACGTACATTATTTCATTTCCTGCTGTGGCTCTTTATGTCCAAGCAGCGTACAATAATTATTGCATAGCAGGTTAGTACCCAGTTAATTGCCTACTTTTCCCATCCAGCTGGTTATTCCTAGGAAGCAAACTTTACTTTTTTTTTTTTATCTTTGCATTTCCTGCCATGAGCAAAGGGCTTGGCACCTGGTAGCTCTGGTTCATACATTAACATGATTCCTTCTGATGCGCTCCAGTGTCTCAGACAGGGACAGTCATCAGCCTGGCCCAGGGACGCATTTCTTACTTGTCTCTGGCTCATGGGATAGATTGTATCTCAAGACTGACTAGGAATAGGATTATTCCCTGCTTTTGTTTTTCCTGATAAAAAGATAACATCTCTTGAAATTTAGACTGCAAAATTCCAAAATATATACTTTGGATAGCACCTTAAAATCTTTGCCCCTCTACAGAGGTCAATAACCACGTTTGCACCTGCAGAAGAATATACTGCAAATATGTACTATCATGATAAAAACGCTGTGATAGTCTGTCCAGATGACTCTGTAATGTAGTAAAACTGCCACAAGGCTCCAGTGTCCCATCTTGTGCAGATCTTTGCCCCTCTTTGAGCTTCACTTCTTCTGTGAAATAGAGAATAATAATACAAAGTTCACTGTGATTTTTAAGTGAGATTGAACACATATTTGGAACTCTATAAATGCAATATTTGCTTTATTTGTTATTTCTATATTTGGTACTAATACTAGCTTTTCAAACAAAAAGTAGAAAATTAACATTTATTGGGTACCCACTGTCAGTCAAGTGCCATACTAAGGATTTTTCGTATAACATCTCATTTAAACCCACTTAGCACTTCTGTGAGTGAAGTGATATTCACTTCCCTGAAAATCCTTGGAACGGCACTTAGTGAAATTAACCAAGATCGCATAGCTTAAGAAGTAATTTAGCCCAGCTTCCTTCTCTCTCACACAAAGTATAAAAGAGTACTCAGATTAAAGGGGAGACTGTTCTAGCTGTTAGCATGATGTGTTTTCATAATGATTATTGCTAATTCTATTTTATTTCTGTAACAGTTTACAGAAGCGCCTGCATCTGCATTATAGGTGCTAGCAATAACTTCCCTTTATATGTGCCAGGAACTGTGCTAAGTACTTTGCATATAGTATAATCAATCTTCAAAATAAATTGCCTGGCAGATGTGATCTTCATTTCGCAGAAGTAGAAACTGAAGCTCAAAGAGTTAAGTACTTTGCCCTTGTCATGGGGCTTACAAAGGTGGGGCTGGCACCCTAGCTGAGGACTGATGCCCTCTCTTTCTGTAGCTGTCTCTGTTCTCTGTATTTGCTGTGTCAGCCTATTTTGACCAACACAGTAAACAAAGAAGCAGATTATTCGGTCTTCATATCACAGATAAGGACATCAAAACTCAACAAAATAACCTAAAAGTAAAAAAGCTAGAACTAGGACCCTAGGCATAGCCCTAGCCAACACACAGTAGTCACTAAAGTGAACTTTGCAAAAATTCAGCCATGTTCCACAGGTTCATGAAATTCCCTGTTTTATGCGTATACCTATTATTGTGTTGTAAACAAACCAAAGTCTGTTCTCAGTAGTGTCGCAAACATATTTCTATGGGGAATGTGGATTTTTCCATGCCCTATTGATGTTTCTATAATTTCTACCATGTCTCAGTCCATGGACTTTTTTCTGTTTAGCTGTGTTTCAACCAAACATCTGTCTCAGAATATACGTTTTATAAATCCTGCCTTTGATTAAAAAACCTGTGTATCATGTAACGTCATATAAAAACAAGCAATTCAATAAATATTATTGGTTGGTGATAAGAATTATAATAGAAATTTTAAGCAATTTTATCAATTTAGGAATCATATATTGAATATCTACAATATAATAACATGATATCCAGAGCTCAGGGGAGAGAGCAATTGCAACGAAGTCAGTTCCTACAGAGATCAAGAATCTGATCTCATTTTAAAGTAAGGATTTCCAGAACATCGTGTTTGAAAGCAGCTTACCACTAAGAACAACTTTTAAACAGAAGAACTAAGAATACTGATAAAATAAATGTATCATTATTTCATACTATTGTTTGTTAACGTGGGTAGTTATCGTAACTTCATTCTTAATTCAAAATCTCCTAGATTACACCAATTTCCATAGGGAGATTTTGATACGAGGAGTAGTGACCACCTTGGAAAGTCAGAAGTGTGTGGTGTGTGTGTGTGTGTGTGTGTGTGTGTGTGTGTGTGTGTGTGTGTTTTAGAATTATGGCAAAGAGGCCATGACATTACACATGATTGAGGTTGCAGTCTTCTAAAGCAACCACAGCAGGAGTATGGCGAATTTCTTTTCTTTTCTTTTCTTTATTTATTGGGGAAAGGGGATAGGGTCTGGCTCTGTAGCCCTAGCTGGAGTGCAGTGGCATAATCACAGCTCACTGCAACCTCCACCTCCTGGGCTCAAGCCATCATCTCACCTCAGCCTCCCAAGTAGCTGGGACTACAGGCACATGGCATCACACCCAACTAATTTCTTTGTAGTTTTTGTAGATACAGGGTTTCACCATGTTGCCCAGGCTGGTCTTGAACTGCTGAGCTCAAGTAATCAGCCTGCCTTGGCCTCCCAAAGTGCTGGGATTGCAGGCGTGAGCCACTGCACCCAGCCTAGTGAATTTCTACCCAGGACAAAATACAGACTTACTACTGCAATAATAATCTTATTAGTGTATCTAGCTTAAGTTTTCAAAACTGGAGTTTATTGGGGTGTTAGTACATGGTCTATGAAAAAAAAAAAAACTCATGTTAAATTAAGTATTGGAAATGCTGAGTCAGACAACATCAAATGGTTTCCTTTTGTGCAAGACTTCTCAGAAGCCTTATTAAGCTGCTATGCATTGTGAAATTCCAAGAAGGTAATTCAGCAAGCAGGACTTCATGAAATTACTTGAATATGCAACTTTTTTCCCACAGACCTTCTATTAGGTTTTCCCCAGAACAGAATCTTGGAAATGCAAATTTGGAAAAACGGACAGTTGAGGACACAGATGATTTTTTTTTCAGACCAGGATTGTTCTGAGTAGACAGCACTACTCCAGCAGGTCAATGTGCATACTCTATTGGTGTTTTGGACCACATTCAGCATAGCACTGTGCTTCCAAAATGTCTTGCTTTTTTTAAAATATAATTAACAGAATTTTTGTGTAGAAATTTACCATGGGGACCCCTTATATGTATTGCATAGTGATCAAGTTTTCCCAAATTGCTATCACATATTTTTTTCACTCAAAAGTTGAATTACAAACAGGCTGTATACCCTTAGCACTGTCCCATAAATCATTCCAACACCTAGTTCAGTGCTGGAGACACAGAAGGTCCTCAAGTAAAATCTACTTGACAATAATGACTTATAATTTTTAAATCCTTCTCAGGTGGACCACTAGCTAAACAGCAAGTCTGGGTCTGCCAGTGCTGATACACACGCCTGAATCCGGGTATATTAGAATTGAAGTTATTTCTCAGAAATATTATCAAATCAAAGAGCAGATAGAATGCCCTTTTGAAATTATAAGATATAAGACTAGTGCTTTATGTGGAAGATAGAGCTTTTTTTAAATAATCATTTATATTTTATAAACTGCATTTCCAAACTGCATTTCCTTGCAGTTTGGAAAATGAGTTATATTGGAGGAATTGTGGCTTCTAGGTAGTAATAAATATGAATGTTTTATATGGCCCTTTTTATTGTTTCAGAATTTAGCAATATACCTAAAAATATTTTTCACTAATATGACTTACAAACTTTTATTATGATTATTACTATCTGTTGCAATTTGGGAAATAAACATTAATTAGATATAAGGCAAAATGGAATAAAAATATGTATGGAATTGTACATGTGACAGTATATTTTATCTTCTTAACATATGTGCCTTAAGTGCTCACTAGGCCAGGTACTATGATGGGCACTGCAGAAAGAGACATGGCAGAGACACTCTAGGTCCTCGAAAGGTCATCAGGATAGTTTTTCTCTTGCGTGTGGCCATCGGGTAGAAAGCCTGATTTTCATATACTGCATGAAAATTATCATTGCTCTACCGTTGCCGCACGAGGGGTAAACATTTTTCTCTGAAAATAATTTTTTTGCATGCAAAATGAGGGTGGAATTGGTGAAGAAATATAGTTGAACTTCTTCAATTCAATTAGTTTAGATTCCATATTAACTGCTCCAGTTTGAGTTGGGTTAAATTGGAAGGTCTGATAATAAAAGTCCCTTAGGGAAATATGGAAATATTTTATGCAAAAAACACCTTAGAAAAGAGTACATAGACAACAGAAATGTTGCCTCATAAATCAAGTTTCTTCCTCTACTGACTCATTTTCAATATGTTGTCCAATAGAACCATTACTAATGAGCACTCTTAAAGTGTTATGTGGGGCTGCGGGAAGGGGGGGTGCATTTTCTTTTTCTGTAATTTAATTGACAGACACCATTTTTCCAGGGTAGTTTTGAGCTTCAAAATGCGCTGTTAAATTGGACTTACAATTCTGAATTAAAGTATAGTGCAGTGAAATGCATACTGGCCTAAATTGCTGTTGATATTGGATTTATATAAAGAAAACTTCACAAACAATATATAACATGGGAGATTAAAAATAGGGAGTAGGGGAGGACATACTAACAGTTGGGAAATCTGGGTTCTCTTTCAGGCTCTGTAACTTTGGAAAATGCTAGGAATTTTCTTTTTCATCTTTCATTTTAGTTTCAGGAGGTATATGTGCAGGTTTGTTACATGGGTAAATTGTGTGCTGCTGAGGTTTGGAATACAAATGGTCCTGTCACCCAGGTAGTGGGTATAGTACTGGACAGGTAGTTTTTCAACCCTCCCCCTCCTCTCCCTCTCCTCTCTGGTAGTCCCCAGTGCCAGGACTTTTTCTTAATCTTGTTTTCCTCAGCTATGAAACATTGGATTAGAATGGATCATATCTTCATTACTAAAATGTAAGGAATCCCTTTCTAACTATAAGTCAGAAACTCCCATCAATGTAAAAGATCACAAATATTTCAAAATGAAAGGAGATTATTTATTTGATTACAGGTGTAAGCTATGCTCTATTAGTCACAGATAATGGAGCCAAAACACTCCTCAACACACCCTGTTTTATGTGAGCCCAAAATGATTCACTTTGATAACTCTCCCTAAAGTGACCAATGCGATCCAGATCATTCAATCTGGGAGGCATGTTTTAGTCCTCGTTAGAGATCTTCATTCATGACCCACCTTATTAACCATTTCTTTCTTCCTTAAACACTTTTTCACCTTAGCTTCAGTCACATGACCTATGCTCCCGATTTTATCTTTTTTTTTTTTTTTTCTCATTGACTATTCCTGCTCAGTCCTTTCTCAGATTCATCTCAGATTCATTGACATCTACTTGGCCCTTAAATATTGGGAGTGCCTCAAAACTTCATTTTAATATTGTTTCCCATAGAGAATTCTCCCTACGTGAACCCACCTGTGTCCATTGCGTTCTTTAACACCTAATGCCCATGATTCACAAATTTTATCTCCAGTTCCGACGTCTGATGTTCTCACTCATGTATGCAAGTACCTGCTTCACCTTCTCTCTTGATATCTTGCCATAGGCACTGAGTGTCTCCATAGGCACTGAAAACTTACCATGTTTCAACCAAACTTTAGAGTTCGTTGGTCTTCCTCCACCCCCTGCTCCTCTTTCAGAGTCAGCTTCCAGAGAATGGAATAGTCATTATCCAGCTATGCAAAAGAGACATTCCTTTGAAAATGTCCCTCTTTCACTTCACATTGTCTAGTCTGCTAAGAAGTCCTCTGGTCTTTTAATGTATCCACTTATCACCATGTCCAATGCCTCTTCCATAGTCTAAGATACTCCTTTGTTTTAGCTGTGGGACAACATAGCCTCCTAGTTAACATATGTGCTTTAAGTGCCTCCATTCATGCCCTCCCCAAATTGTCAATTTTCATACTGCAGTGGGAGTGCTTCTCTAAAAGCTCAAACCTGGTTCTCTCTTGTTTAAGAGAATTGAATGCCTTTTCGTTTTTCTTTAAATAAAGAAGGGCTTTAAATGATCAGCCATGTCTTTCGTGATCTGGCCATACTTAGCCCTGGAGTCTCATTTCATACTCGCACCTTCCTCTTCTCCTGAGGTCCAGACTCATTAGCCTTATTTCAGTTCCTTAAATAGGTTGCGCTTCTCCTTACACAGGAATCTTCACATACTGTTTCTTCTGCATGCCTCTGGTCTCCCAATTTCCTTTCGCCAGAAAACATTATCTGATCCCCTAGGTCAACTTTCCTTTTTATATGGCTTGGTAGCATCCGATTTCTTTGAGAGAATTTATCTCAGTCAGATATTTACATTTATTTTAGCGATTATTTTTTGCCCTCATTCAACAAATATTTATTGAACACTTACTGTGTGCGAGGCACATGGTAAGGTGATAGTAAACATTGGTGAACAAGAGACAAGTTCTATGCAGCTACAGAGCCTATAATCTCATAGGAAAGATGAAAAATCACTGAACACCACAAAAATATATGTACATTTTGAATTGTAATAACTTTTTTGAAGAAAACAGAGTTCAGTGCAAGGGAAGAAGGGGTTTGTGGGAAGACTTGCTTTAGGAATCAGGAAAGAGCTCTCTGAGAAGGTAGCTTTCATACTAAGACTCGAAAATGTGAGGGGTTGGTAGGGCTTATGACAGAGAAAATGCATTTCCTGCAGAGGTAAGAGAATTGAGGAGGTCTTGAGGGAGGCAACGGGGAAGGCAAGAATTTAGGAGGCAATTTTGTATCTGTCCTTTCCTCTAATCCACAAACTTTGAGGATGAGGGAACATGTCTGTTTTTCTCTCTATCAAAACTCTAGTGCCAAGCTCAGTAGCTGGGGTGTATTTATGGAAAGAAAATAGATAGGCATAACTTACTTTACAAAGTAACTTCATCCTAAAACTGAATGTATAAGTTTAAAATAAAAGTATCATTTAATAATTATTTCATAAATCATTACAAAAATTACCAAAATTATTTGTTAGGTTGTTCTATATATATATACTTTTGCTTAAAAAATATTTGCTTAATTTTCTTTATAAAATATCTATTATGTTTGTATCTATCTATATCATCTCTCTTAGGCTATTTGAATGAAAAGCTTCCCAAGAATGTTTTAAACAAAAAAAAAAAAAACAGAGAAAACATGATTTGGGGATATCATTATCTACCAATAAAAGCTGTAAATAACAGCGATATGATGATAATACAAATTAATTTTTGAATTATTTTGCTTTAAACTTATTCCAACACGTCTGTTAAAGCAAACTAAATATGGCCCAGGGACTCCATATTTCTATATTGAGTCCTTGTGGACAAACTGTAATCTAGCTTAATAGGTAGACAAGATTGAAAACCTATCTTAGGAGTAAGTGCCTGTAACAAAAGCTGAGTCTTGGCCAGTCCCAGCAAGGGTACTTCAACCATTCATCTGCTGAGTGTTCAAACTGATCAAATAAGGCAAGCACCAACCTATAACCAATCCAGCCATTCTGTACCTCACTGCCAGTTTCTGTAGCCTCATTTCCCTTTTCTTGTCTTTAAATCTTCTTCCACCACATGGCTGCAATGGAATCTCTGTGAGTCTGCTGTGATTCCGGGGGCTGCCCCATTCACGAATCTTTCATTGATCAATTAAACTCCTTTAAATTTAATTTGGCTTAAGTTTTTTTCCTTATCATTTCCTAGTAGTACATTATAAACCTTCTTCTTAACATATCGGTTTAAAATAAAACATTTTTTCTTACATAAAATTCTTATGCACATTTCCAAAACCAGATGAGTATAAACAAGCAAAATATATGTTGTATAGCACTGGAAATATTTCCATGATTTGATTCACTGTCCTAGATGGAAATTTAATTAACCAGAGTTTTTCAAGCTATTTTTATCAGGACTAGATTATTCTGAAACAACTCACCTTCCTCCTGAGGGAATATATATGACACTGATTTAATTCACTTTAAAAGTGTATACTTTCATAATGTATGACAAGTCAAAACATTTGATCAAGTGTATTATTGCGACTGAATTACACTAAATAGTGCATTTGTTATAATAATATAAATAATACATAAAACTAAGTCTTTCTGTTGGAAATAAAGTGGGAGTTTGTCTAGATAATTTAAACACTCACTTCTGCATTATTTATGTAGTTAGTTCAAAGTGGGGTTCAGGCAGTATGAGACTTGGTACACAAATCATCATTTGAATCTCCTGGCTGGCTTGACTGAGATGACAATTTTACCTGGCAAATTGCTCGTGTATGTCATGATCAAGTCTAATCAATTCCCCCTCCAAACTGTATCTCATTGTCAGTGTAGCTCTCAGCTATACCTACCTACAGCTTGCTGCCACACTGTGTCATAGGTGTAAACATTTTATTTTGTATTTTTATTCTATTTTATATTCGTGAAGGTAAACCCTTTGCCGCCTTAAGCTTCATTTCTGGGCTAATACCCTCCAGATTTATATCTGAACTCTACAGTCTATAAACTAATGCTTTAATACTCTTTCTTTCTCTCTCAAGTATATAGGCTGTAAATAGTAAATACATTTCATGTGGTGAGTCCTAAAGTCTTTTTGTTACAGTTTTATAAAAATTGTCCCAAAGAATATCCAATATTTAAGTCATCTTTCTAAAAAATATATTTTAATCACTTTTAATTTGTCAAAAAAATTGTAAGCTGAGATTTGATTGGATCTATAAATATACTAAAATAAGCCAGTCAAACTACAGGTCGATAGACAGAGGAAAACTTCATTAAGGATGTCTTGCCGAAGCAACCAATTGTTGGATATTGTTCATTTGTTTTTGTGTGTTTCTTTATCTTGCTTCTATCTTTGATATGTTTACTATGATGTGTTTTACATTATAGTTCAAATAATCAGTTAGGGAATTATAAAAATAGAAAAAGTCTAGAGAGTAAAGGTATCATAATAAGTTATCCTAGGTTGGTGCTTTTTTTCTGTAAAAGATTGCCATGCAGAGCCAAGGTGCTCTGTAAACTGTACAGTGCTAGATATGAGATATTGCCATTACTCAAGTCAATCCAAATTGTCAAGTTTCACAGATGCATCGTTAATCTCAACATTCTAAATTTCCCATTGACTTTACGTTTTCCAAAAGGGAATTTCCATCTCAATTATCCAAATAATTATGTCAACTGTCCATGCAGGTAAATACTGAATCACATGCAGAGAGCCTATAGAAATTAGGACATCTTAACAGCTAAAATGTGAGCTAGAAGATAAACTGAACATTATCTTTCTGTCCTTTTTTATTTGTTCCTCATAGGAAACTGTATATGTGGAGGTATACTACACGTTATATTTATACATTCTTTTAGCTAATAAGAAAACTAGCATAGATTGTCTAAGGTAAGCGTATTTCTGTTAAATGGAAACAGTCCATGTGCAAAATTTCCAAGTCAAACAGAACAGAGGGCAGAAGAGAGTAAAGGAGCAAGTGCATTTGAAAAAGACTTTGGAGGTCAAATCTCATAGCTTGCCTGGATTATGAAGTAGTCTAATTGAAATAAATGAAAAGATTATTCCATTTCAGTTTTTTTTCGTAGAAATAACTAACATTTCACCGGACCTTGATTATTTTCTTCCCTTGGAAAGAAACTGCTTTATGCTCACAGGCAGGTGTAAAGAACACCAGTCTGTTTCTCCCCCCTGTTCTGAAGGCATTTATCACTAAAATTGCTCAACTCTGAAAAGCCTTAGGGGTTCAGTGGGCCGTGATTTCCTGAGTACTGTTTTTGCTACCCACAACTAGAAAGTATTTTTCTTTATTGCCTAGATGCAATATCCTTTCTGTATAAGTAACTTTACAATAAAGTTAGCTAATGCTTACTCTGTCTAGATCAGAATTCTTCTTCACTCCACCAAAAATATTACTTCAACCTGAGGGTGATAATGAGTCAAGGAAATACCGACTCACGATGATACATCAAGTAAATGCTTTCCATCTCTATGAAAATGAAATTCACAGGCAAAATTTGGTTTTAGGTAGACTCAGCTATTTTTTTTTCCCCAGTAGGGATAAAACAAGATAAAGTGGGTGATTTTTCTAAATATTTATAAATGTTTTAAATATTTCAATTTGAAATATGGCAATATTGTGATGAAACTCTATACCTTTGTTAATCAGTGTTCCTAAAATTATCTGCACATGTGAGATGAGGGAGCACTCCAGTGGACTGTGTTCTAATTTCAGATGATCTCATACAAAAAGGAAAGCTTGATGCCATTGCTAGCAAATGTCATACATGAAAGTTCAACAATTCCTTTGAGCTGAATTTAGAAAAAAATATAAGAATATTGCTGAGCTCTTGAAACCTGCTAAATGCGAATCATCAGACACTTAAATATGACTTGTGCTGAAGGCCCCCAAGTGGAGCACAATATAATTGAAATCAACTGTAACAATTAACAAAAAGAGAATTCAATAAATAGTCCAACAAAAAGTCCTTGTGAGTATCCTGCCACCGCCAAGGAGGGTGTTTATATCATCGAACGCAAAATCTCATTAAGCCAGCTAGAGTCTGTACTTTGAATTTCCCTTTTTGTGGAGGTCTTCTGTTCAGTGACAGCAGGGTTTTTCCAAGACATTTTTCCCTGTCTTTTTCTCCTTTAAGTATGCATCTCTAGGCAGTTTACCAGTCAATTCAGTGAAAAATGGGAAAAAGCAGTTGTTTCACCAGATTGACTGACTGATTGTTAAAACAGTTGGTCCCATGACCCCTCTATATGTAGACACGGACATTTGTGTGAACCTGAACATGGCCTCTTTTATTTAAAATAAAGCAACAGGATGTGGTTTTGGGTTTGACTCAAAATAACATTGTCAAGATGGGAAGAGAAAAAATATATATATGCACATATGCATTCATCTATTGGATTGACTTGTACCACATGGAATACCATCAGACTTTTAAATGACCTTGGTAGATTGGAAGAGTGGTTAAAAATAAGTAGAATGAATTAAATTTTAAAAAATAGGGCAATTCATTTGGGGTGTGTGGAAGAGGGAAAATGAGCACAAATTCCAGCCAAACATGATGCAGTGCTTGAGCTGAGGTGGGTAAAGGGAGAGGCTTCACTGGAATTCATGTTACGGTCAGGCACATCCTGCACACCCAACCAAGAGGGCAGTGCCAGACTCCTGAGATCTCAGGGGCGGCTTGTAACAACTTTTAGAATAAGGCTAGGCATGGTAGCTCACACCTTTAATCCCAGTGCTTTGGGAGGCAGAGATGGAATGATCACTTGAGACCAGCCTTGGCAACATAGCAAGATTCCATCATTAAATAAATAAATAAATAAAAATTTAAAAAAATTAAATAAAAATAGATAAATAAAATTTTAAAAAATAAAATTGGAAGTAGGAAGTGACAGCAAATAACATTGGAGAATTAATAACAATGATAATATCCCTAATGTATATTGAGCACTCATTATATACCAGGTAGAGGACTATTATCAATTATTGTGTAAAACCTCGGAAATAGCTCATTCCGACATTTACAGATAAGAATACTGAAAGTCAGTCATGACTCACCTAGAGGCCCAAGTCATCTTTGATGGAGCAAAGGTGCAAGTCAAGCATTCTGACCCTAAAACTTACACTTCTAACCACTGTTCTAGGTGGACTCCTAGATTATGATGGGCCTCAAATGTCTTGCTTAAGAGCTTACACTTTATATTAGACTCACTTGGCAAGTTTATTGAAACAAAGATTGCGGGGCTCACTCCCAGATTTTCTTATTCTTCAGTAAGTCTAGTGGGGGGGCCAAGAATTTGTGCTTCTATAAGCTCCCAGCTGATGCTGATGCGACTGGTCCTTGGGCCACCCTTTGAGAACCTATGCACTAGAAAATAAAAGCAGATGAAGCGACTTCATCGAAAGATGAGATGTGTCAGACGAAGCTTTCAGTTACTCGTGCAAGGCGATGGTCTAGGAGAGGCGAAGAGGGTATGGATGATCCCAAACCGTGGCTGCAGGAATGGAGCAGAGTCCTCATAGAGAGTGGTGAAATCTGTACTACCCGATGACGGACCCTGTGCTGTCTGAGACAGGGGACAGAAGGTGGGGGTTCAGAGCCCTTGTTTTGAGATCAGGAACTCCACCACCTGAGCAGCCTTCGAGCACACAGCTTGACTTGGTCCTCTTTTCTTTAAGCTGAGGTTAACATGGAAGTCTTCCTTATGAAGTCTTCATGAGAATCCAATGGGTTAAACCCATAAAGAAATTAACCTAATACCCACCACGGGGAAGCATTTAACAAATAGTAGTTATTATTGTAGGTGGGAGAAGGACGGCTCTGGGATCACTTGAGGCAGTTTTTAGCTGAAAAGTCCAAGTGGACTGCTTTGCTTTGCTTAGCGTTCCTGGCGTCCTCCACACAGGTTGACACCTCCAGGTGCTTATTTAACCTGCGTCCCAGATCCGATTGATTCCGGTTCCTATGCAGTGTTATTCACGAGTGCATGTGGGAGGAGAATGGGCCGTGACAACAGTGAAGGCCGAAAGCCCTAATTTTTTACCAATCATTTTACAGATACAAAAGTAGGCTTAGGAATCCATTATTTTGAATGTGATCTATGGACACCTCCTCTTTCTGCTGCCTTCCTACTATCCCATTCCTCATCCTTCACAATATGTAAAGAAAATAAACCCTGTGACTTTGAATCTAATGTTTTCACATCCCATTCACTTAAATCATCTCTTGAGAATATGTTTGTGTGAAAATGTGAGAAATGTGTTTTTAAAGTAAAGGAATGTGATGATGTAACTGGCCACATTAGATTTCTTAGGCAATCCCTAAATGCATTAAAATACACACTGTGCATCAAGAGCTGGATTGAACCACGGATGCTGATTCCGATGGGGCAACCCTTATTCTGTATAGACTGATGTCAGTGATGTTTTAAGATTAAGACTGAGATAAATAAAAAGTGGTGTATGCAATACCCTTTCCTCTTTGGGAAATTAAGAACTTACATTAGTGTCTGTTTTTTGTTTGTTTGTTGTTTGTTTTGTTTTGAGGTGGAGTCTCACTCTACTGACTGGGCTGGAGTGCAGTGGTGCCATCATAGCTCACTGCAGCCTCGAACTCCTGGGCTCAAGTATTCTTCCCCACTCAGCCTCCCAGATAGCTGGGACTACAGGTGTGCACCACCGTGCCTGGCTTTTTTTTTTTTTTTTTTTTTTTTTTAAGTAGAAACAGCATCAAGCTATGTTGTTCAGGCTGGTCTTGAACTGCTAGGCTCAAATGATCCTCCCACCACCCTCCCAAAGTGCTGGAATTACAGCCATGAGCCACTGCACCTGGCCAATGCTTGTTTTTTTGTTTTGTTTTGTTTGTTTGTTTTAACATCTAAAAAGATGCCAGGAGTCAATTAAGTGTGCAGAATGTGATTAAAATCATTTCTTCTACTCTTCAATGTTTGGTAGAATTCATTATTCCTTCACCTCTGGTGGAGATTTTTATTTGTTTAATAAGATATTTTGCTCATTTAGTCCTAATGTTACAAAATTATATCCCATTAACTGTACATTTCTAGAGGAAAAACTTTCAAGTGAAACTGAAGATTTCAAATATGCACTGCTGAAAATCATGTCCCTGGAAGCACAATCTACCATCTCAACTTATTCCATAAGAGATGGCATTGTATGTTAGTTGGTGCTATAGTGAAATCCAAACAAAATGTTGATATTATTTTATTAATCTCATTACATTTGTAATGTTTGGTTAAATCCACTTTCAATACTTTAGGCAGGTTTACAATTTTATAAGAATTTTTCAGACTTGTTTTGGAAGTAATACCTCAACAAGATGGCTAGGAGTTTTCACATTCACTCCCAGAGAGCATTGCGTGAAAAGATCTCCAAAAGAAAAGCCTGATTCACACTGAATCATACCTAAAGAGCAAGCAATCCAGAATAATGCCAAAGGACGGATGGGCACCCTGCCCCCACCCACCCCAGAAATGAGTTTTTGACATTGCAAATGTGCTTATGTCCCCTTGATAGCTAGTAAAGGCAGCAGGTAATTAATAAGTCAAGTGGTTTCCCAAAACATTGGAAGTTGTTCAAGCTTGCCAATCTCAGAAACCCCTATATGAAATCCCTGCACATTTTCTCATCTACTAGTGGGTGTTCCTAGGGAACACGTTTAATTGTAACTTTTCAAATATTGTTCTCAGGGTGTTAGTATTACTTGTCTGTATTGTTCTGACATTTTAGCCATCGAAGGTGTTTTTGTATGGGAAACAAAATGCAGGATGACAAATGAAAATCATCAAATCGGATCAGTATGCATATTTTTTCTGAGTCACTGTGCCCTTTGCTGGGCTCTGGCAAACTAGTTTTACTCATCTTTGTAGGCGAAGTGTAATAAACAATGACTACAACATCTACAGTTTAGAAGTCAGCAGCTGCAGATAGTGGAATGACTCAAATACCAATCCATGCTACCCAGACATCCCGACAGCATAAATAACAGGGAACAAGATTTTTCAGTTAAATGTTTTAGGATCACTCTACACTTTTGAGATGAACATTTTCTTTGTGATAATTCCTTGTTTCAGAAGAATACTTTCGAAATCTTCTTAGTTCGTGATGTAAGCAGTGCCACTTAATTGTTGTTGAATCAGACAGATTTTTCTTCTTTTCCCTCAGTGAGAAGAACTAGAATTGCTTTTTCTCAGACTGAACTTCATATTTCAGGCTGTTTTTAACATAAAGGACGAAAGTTCCCCATAGCCTTCTTTATTTTTTCAATAAACATTTATTGCGCCCAATTAGGTGGAAAACACTCTACTAGATGTTATGGAAATTCACAAATAAGTAAGACGTGGCTCCTGGTCTTCAAAGATTTACAGTTTAGCAGAAGAGGCAGCATATCCATAAACCTGTGGAGAAAGACAAAAATGATTCTATAAAATTAATGCAGCTGCATTTTTGAAGTAATTGTTTTCATTTAATTCATTTGTTATCTTCTTTAGTGGAAATCATCTAGTGGGTTTCCTGTTTATTTTTAAAATCACTGTAATTTTTTAAAATAAAATAATAGACTCCTGTTGGCCATTTCTATACTCATCGATGAACTATAGCTTGGCATGTACTTTGCTGAAAATGCTTTCTCATTGATTTAATAGAACAAAGTAGATTTCCTTTTTCTTCCCCTCTTTTAAACTTTATGTTTTCTTTGTACATTGTTCCATTCAGTAAATGAATAGTTGCTTTCTATAAAAAAGTGATTTCTGCTTTACCATCTAACTGCATATATGCTGCTTCTCTGGGTTCTTATTAAAAAAGAGAGATGCATAGAGCTTACCTATAAAATGAGTTTTAGAAATGTACCCTTTGATGCCAAATTAGTAATTTTATAGACCTTCCAAATAAAATTTTATTAAAACATTTAATAGTCATATAATGGAAGAAGAATACCAATTTAAATAAGACGGACCATTACATGTGTTAGTAGAAAGACATTAGGCCAGCTGTTACTGAAAATGACTATTATTTAGTGGTTATTTTGTTCATTTCTGCATTGTAATGAAACGATTTAATCCCACATGCTAATGACTAATCCGTTAGGTATATAGTGATTTCCATTTGATCAAAATTAGCTTGGCTGAAAAGATAGCACAAACTTTTGTAGAAACTAAATGTAGTTGTTTTCTTTTGTTCTCTTTTCAGCTTCATAGTCTTATAAAATGCTGACATTCTTATCATTTTCAACAACATTTTAAATACAAACTTTGAGAATTCCTTTGACGACTTGTTTCCATCTGTTTGTTCATGTCTTTAAAAAGCCATCTATATCCAGGCATTGTTGGTGACTCCAGCCACTTGTTTGCAGCCAGTTGTTAGACGCTGGCAGTCTAGGTGAAGTCTGGGATGTATATCCTGTTTGGAGCAGTGCTCAAAAACCCTGCCCTGAATTATTTCGTATCAGAAATTCCCATGAAGCCATCACCTCTTTTAGGCAGAGGTGAGACTTACTTCTACTGTAATTTCTGAGTTAGTAGTAAAGCCTGGTCAGCCCAAGACAGCCACAGAAGGCACTGACCTCCAACATTAGGCTAACTGCTCCAAGACCTCTACAAGTGCAGACCCTTGGTATTTCATTTAAAGTAACACATTTGTGGCAGCAGGGATGAACAAAGTCTTTTGATCTGTGATGAAAACATTAAGCATATTCGATAAATAATCAATAATACTAGCAAACATTTACTGAGTGTAAGTGGTGCTGTTGTCAGTGATTTACATTAATTTATGTAAATCACTTTTGTAAATCACTTATGTATGTGAGTTAATTTACTCACAGAAAGTGGAACAATTTGAAATATCTGCTCTCTATACTCTATTTCTAGAACCTGTGGAATGAACTCCCTTAATTTTGGACAAATAAATTCCATAGTACATAGGAGCTATCTTTGTCATCACTTTCATCTACTTCTTGCAAAATTATCATAATCTTCTAACCAGAGCAAAGGTATTCATTAACCCAAAATTGAGCATGGTTAAAAATCTGTTCACTAGGGTAAGTTTCTTTGCCTAAGTCTAAGCCCTTTTTTTGAAAGTTTCCATTTCAGTTCTACTTAGTTCACAAAGGAAATTTGATTTTTTTATAGCAATAGTAACTAGGGAAAAAATGAAAAATCAGTACTTTTTGTGTAAGTCGTATCTTCAAACTCAACAAAGTTAAAGTTTTTCTCTTGATAGAAGCCAATTCATGTGCTCTAGTCTGTGGTTAAAACATTTTTTTTTATTCGTTCAGAGTTAGCCCTTAGGGTTTTGCAAGTACGTGTCATTGTGTCTCACATCCCCTGCTGTGAAAATCAACTTGCATTTGAATGTGCATCTTGACCCATAAATGTCACTGTGGTCCACTGAGTATCTGGCTTCAACATTTCCTGTGGTAAAATGGACAATGGGAAACAATATTTTTTCTTGAGAAGGGGGCCTGCCACAGAGTATCTGTGTATGTCCATGAGTGTTTGTAGCACAGACAGGAGAAACTGCAACAGTCGGGGTTTAAGTGCATGTCTCCAACTATTAAGCAAGATGATACCAGACAACAAAGTTTCTGAAGAGCTTTGTGAGGAAAAGAAAATGCCAGATTATCGTTTCTGTTTCCAATTCACTTCTCCCTTTCACGGGACCCCATTCATCCTGGGTACCCTTAGTCTCAGACTTCACATTTTCCCTCAGAGTGAGGATATATCAAATAATCTCTCCCCCATTCACTTTGCTGCTTTTCTCTTTGCCTCTACTGGACATACATACACTTTATCTTTACATCCACATGTATAGCCCCATTCATAGAGCAGTAGGCTGGTGCTGAGGAGTGAATCAATGACTAAGGCACACACAAAGAATGCAGGCGATGACGCCGCCCCACATGCAGAACCCCCTGCCTGGATGGCCAATACCTATATTTAGAATTCATGTTTCCAGTAATTTATTGCACAAAATCTCGGGATTATATGCCAGCATTTTAGACAGGGCAAAACTCATCTGAAAATTGGAATGCACAGCTATTTTTTAAAATCCAATTTCTGACAGTGCTTGTTTTAATCCAACTAAATTTTCTTTCTGTTTGTTGTTTGAAATCTGGCCAAAGTGTGTGACCCAACTGGAAATCCATCCAACTCGGCAAAGCCACACCTGTCAAGATGGTTTCCCTGCTGGTCTTCAGGTCAGTGGGCACAGGAAGTAAAGGAAAGGGGAAATTCACATCTACCAGGCATAGACTCTGTACCTAAATATTTCCCCTATGTCCGGGGTACAATTCTGGTGAAGTAGGGTTGCGGGGAGCAGATGGAGTACCAAACTCAGATCACTCCATCATGGATAATCTGATTTTCGGTAAAAGTATGGCATGATCTTCCTCTACTGTATTTAAGAATTCACTCCCCTTGAGGACATTTTTCTTTCAGCCTTTCACTAAATAAAGGGCACAGGAAGAGAAGGGGAATAAAAGTCACTCAATTATCGATAAGCAGTTTTCACTGTAAAGGTTTGATGGACTGAAAAAGGAAAAAGACTCACTGAAGTGTGCTTTTCTTCTTCTTATTGGTGGCTGTCATGGAGGTCGGTTACGGATACATCCCCCTACCACACTAAAGGAAGTTGACTGCTTACATGGACAACATAAGCATTTAAGTATATACACGTAAAAAGTTGAGGTCAAATTTGCTAGTAAGAGAAGGGAGAAAAGACATATGTGGATGGAGAGGTGATGCAGGGGTGCGGTTTCAATTGATTTCAGGGAGATTGCCATGTGCATATTGAACGTGTCAATCTCAGATAAAATGTGATTCCCAGGCACCCAATATGGTAACAGAGTCTAGTTGATGGGGCTCATTAAAGCAGTTTGAAACACCTGCTTTCCCTGTTCAAAGGACTAAAATTCGGGGACTGATGTGTCAGTCATTCACAGAGACGGTAAGCCTGTGAGTATTCAAGAACCAGTATGAGGGCACATGCGCGTGAGCGTGCACACACACACACACACACACCAGGATTATTTGGCACTTTCTCACACAGGGAGGGTAGACATTGAGGTGTTCTGTGGTCTTCAATCATTTCAACCAGGGCCATCGCTTTGTAAAAAAGCTCTGTGATTGTGTGGTGTCACCACCAATAACCATTGTCACTGCATCTTGTCAAAGCAAAGACCATTTGTTTCTGGAAGAAAAGCCAGGGATATATAACTGAGGTAGGCAAGGATTTTTTTAATGGACATATAAGCCTTTAAATAAATAATTGTCTTTTCTGAGCACTTTAAAAAATACATATGTATAAAAAATCATACTGAAAAAAATTTATGCTCAACGAAATTGTGACACTCACTCATCTGAAAAGCTTTGCTCATTCAAACCAGAGAGATTAATCACAGAAAGGAGATAAAAAAAAAAATTCCCTGAAAGGGAAGGGAAATAATTTAGCAGTAAATCATAGAGCAGGGCTAACGTGAATCACAGAAAAAGGTACCAGCTCTTATGATTTAGGTGACATATAAAAAATAGCCCTTTGTGGATTGACAGTTATAGGTATAAATGATAAAATTATTCAGCAGTGGTATGTTCTCTTCTTGTCATTTGTCATTTTGCATCTGATTATTTTTAAGAATTTAATTAAAGGGGTAACAGAACCATATAGACCTTTTGTGACTCTAACAAGCAAATACCTTTTTAAGCCTTTTTAAAGAAAAATATATGACGGCTCTCTCCTTTTGCTTTGTCTTTACTGAATGCTCTATGCATCTGCATGCGTGCTATTTTTTTCTTTATGCTATTTTAGGCTTCCAAGGAAAATTTAGTAAGAAAACATTAAAAATCAAATGCAAAGTCATGCATTGTTATTAGCAGAAAAATTATTTTAGTTTAAATATACACTCAGAGACTGAATAAGAATTTATTTTTGAAATAAAATCAAAGATAATTGTACTTCTTCTTTCTGGCTCTGCAATTCAAAGTGACAAATATGATCTTGTGTGTGTGTGTGTGTGTGTATAATTAAGTACATGTATATGTGTGCATAATAAGTGTGTGTATAAGTATATGTATACACAAACTCATATACATAAGCTGTGTGTTTAAGTGTGTATATACTTATTATACACACACACGATAAGATCGTACATTTCATATCAGCATGATAGATATTTTTCTGTAACAGAACTACAGATCAAAGCCTAGAGGATGTAGAAAGTGAATGACATCTTATAAAAGTAAGTGTAAAATGCAGTTTTAGCAAAGAGGCCCCCTTAGCATGAATTGTGTGTAACTTGCCTAAACTGGAGGGTTTTTTCCTTATGCTATTTATTTTAATGATAGGGTAAATGGGTTTTATACAAATAAATCCTGCAATAGGATCTGCACCGTCAAAATTCTTGTAAGAAAAACAAAAGTTGCGAGAACTAGTGTGACCATTATACAATGTGATCAACCAATACATTCTTAAAAATATACCCTGTGTGTGCAATTTTATTTGCAATTAATAAGAGTTAACACTACAAATCTAATTCACAGTCACTTTAAAGTTTTGCCTCCAAACCAGTTCAGTATTTTAACTGACTAAATTAAGACTTTTCTGTCTTTCCCCACCCCATCTCCCAGAGCAGAAATTAAATCAGTTTTAATTTATTTTATTTGCTAACGCTGTGGATATAATTATTGCTGCCTAGTCTTTTTCATTGTTTTCAACTAGGTGCTTGTCTTTAAGTTGCAATAGACTTCTAATTCCGCATTGTTGACATTCCCTTGTTAATTCTGACAAAGCGTCATAAATCCAGGTATTTAGGCTTATTGAATTTTGAAATGAGGTGATTAGTTGGCACATGGATGAACGAATTGATGCAAAGCAAAATGAATTTTATGATTTACTATGGTTTGCAAGTTCCCTTGGAACCATTATGTGCAAATTGTATAATGTATTAAGAGGTAAGATATCACATTTATAATCAACTTGGCAAATTTGGCTCAAGTAAAGATATTCCAGCATTCTGCAAAAGAGTCACTGTTGAATAAGCGTTTGGCATACACAATTAATTTTCACTGTGTTGTCTTACACTCTATCATTTCCAAGTCTAAGAGGCTAAAGTATAAGATGTCAGAGGCTCACAATCAATGCAGAGCATTACGTGTGTCATGTTCTAGGATTTTAAATTGTAGTCTAATGTTCAAGGTAATTACCAGTTCAAAGTTCTAACAAGATGCATGTAACTGAGCACTTAACTTTAAAACATAAGGTTCCTCACTTATGTTTCCTCATTGATAGAGGGCATAAGCACATGGATTTTACATTATTGCTCTTATTGGGTATAAACCACGTATTTAGTTTGGTATTGCATTAATTGTAAAAATCTGTGTCCTTGTATGCATAGACACAGTTAATTTAGATGGAAAATATTAATAGCATACTATGAGAGTAATACCAAAGAGCCTAGGCAGATCAGGATCTATGGCTGGAAAGAGTAGGCATGGAGGTACAGGATGGTATGCGGGGCATCAGAGGGTCTTTGCTGCCACTGAAAATCTATCATTAGTAATTCATCACTCTTTATTTGCTTAATAACACTCTTAAAACCCCAAGGTGAGATATCAGCTTTCCAACAGTTAGATGAGATCAGCTGTGCTAAGAGATGCTGCCTTTGCCACAGAAGCTGGAGAGGAGAGGACATAGAAACTACTCGAAGAGTTCAGTGCTAGAACAGGCACTGTGAAGGGGAATTCTGGACAGTTTGGGATCCCCTTGGAGCCCCAAGGGATAGAAGAACCAGAGGAGTAGTCAAAGAGTCAGGCTGTGCTCGTTCCCAGACCCAGCCATGCAGTTTTGCTACATGGATAATTTGCAGCAAATCAAATGTACCAGACCCTTCAGTCATAAACAACTGGTTCTTACATTTGAGGTCACGTGATATTCCTCCTGTATAACTATTTTAACTGAAAGCGATCTGTAAAGAAGTGCACTGTACTTAAGAAAGAACTAGCTAAATAGCCCATTGTACATTTATGGGGTTGTGCCTATTGGATTAAAATCCAAAATATTCATTTCGCTATGACTCGTCTTAGAGACTTCACAGGCCTTCAGAGGTGACCTGTCAGGTTCATTTGCATCTAATCAGATCCATCACCCATAATTTTATGTTGGTGTGTTAATTACCACTGACAGTCCATTCCTCAGACACCCAGTGGAGATGGCCCTGAGTGCCTGGTGCATTGTCATCATCCCATCTGAAACGTGTAGCCATCCAGGAAGAGTGCAGTTATGTAGTCCCCTGACTTTGACTTTGGAAAAGAAGCGGCGCAGTGAATTATTTTTGCTCTCAGCGGGAGAAAAAGAACCTTCAGGAGTCCTCATTTTTAAGCTCCAGCAGCTCACAACTTGGATCCTTGAGTAGAGTTCTGCAGTGGGAGTCTGAGCCGAATTACTCTGCCCTGGCTTCTGAGAGCTCTCCGTGGTGCCTAGGTCAACATCAGCTTGTCCCTTCCGGAAATCCTACCCTCAGGCAGAAGGACTTGAAAGATTTCCTTCCTCCTACATGGAGCAGAGAGGATAAGAATAGCCTTGCATGTAATGGGCACCAGTAGAGATCTGATTGGCTGGTTAGGTCTTCCTGGATAAACCTACGTGGACCTAGTTTATTAATTTGTATTCTCTTTTCAGAATACAGATCTTTTGGGGGTGATCAGAGTGTAATAAGTAAGAACACAAAATCTGTAGTCAGAATACCTGGGCATCTTTAATAAATTTCTTAATCCCACTAAGCTTTCACGTCTTAATCTAAAAGTGGGGATAATAATAGTACCAATTCCACAGAATTGTTTAGAGTATTACATGAGATTATTCCATATGTAAAGTTTTTAGAACTGTGCCAAAACATGGTAAAGTTTCTGTAGCAATCAGCTGTTATTAGTAAGGAAAATAAAGAAGAATTGAAATAAGTTGGTTTCTGACCTATGCACACAAAGAAACACAGCCTACATCAGAAAAACCTGAGATTTGGCTCCAGGTCTGCTGCTGGCTCAAGCTATCACTACAAAACAACAGATTCATTTATTAATTACAATTTTAGAAACTTTACTCAAGTCTATAACTATGTACTGCCGCACAAACCTTTACTAAGCACCTACTCCTGGGCTAGATCTAAGGATAAAGGGATAAATAAAAACAATCCTTACTTTCAAGGTGTTAACAGGCTCGTTGTGTACATTCACAAGCTAACCAATGATCCATTTCCAGTTTTAAAGCAAAGGCAAGCTTAGAATTTACAATGGGCTATTTAGCTAGTTCTCTCTGAACTACAGTGCACTTCTTTACAGGTTGCTTTCAGTTAAAATAGTTATACAGGACGAATATCACATGACCCCAAATGTAAGAACCAGTTGTTTATGACTAAAAGGTCTGCTAGGAACACACATGTGACCCAGCCAGAGAATAAGAATGACCCCAGGAAAGCTTTTCTTCCCGGAATGGAATACACAGAGCTTTGCGTTAACAACAACCAATTTGTTCAACCCAACTTTCTCCCTTATTCGGTTCTTTTATCTATTTAAGAGAAAAAAACATGTTTATCACTGGCTGTTTTGTGATTTAAGACTCTGCTATCCTAGAAGAAAGAAAATTATCTATCCACTTTAGTATTATTCCAATTGCCTCTCTGTCACCTTAACTTCAAAGGCAAACTACTTCAAAGTCAGTATTTTCTCTCTCCATACTCTTCAGTCCAACCTATAATTAAGATTTTGTTGGATTAATTTCATTTTGATTCTGTTGTAGGCACTTTGCTGACTTCAGAATGCATGGGAAATATAAAGTATGATAAAATGGTGGTTTCTTATCATTCTGTTTGTTATAATTGACTATTTTCAACATCCTAAAAATGCTATTAATATTTGCCTAACAAATAATTTTGCTAGTATGTTATTTGTACAATTGATTATGTAATAATCAAAATAATCTGACCCCAGAAATGTCTTGGAAGGACACATAGCTAAAGATGGCCTCTCTGTCCCTCAAACTCTAGCATTGTGGAATAATCCAGAATTTACTGGAAGACAATTTAGCAAGTAGACTCAACTCTTGGTAACAGAGCCAACAGAGGGGGAGCAGTGATGTGAACAATTCAAAATCATGAGTAATCCCCAAATCAATTACATGTAGCTTTTGAATATGTTTTCATTAATTACTGTATATTTAAATATACTATTTCTAATATTTAGGTATTTCATGGAAGAGCAAGCAAAATAATGAAATCCTTGGAGTTCAGTGTGATTATTCAACTTTCTTTCTTTCCACTGGCATGTTCTCTCCCACTCCCTACTATGTGGTTGAGTGTGAATTATCCTACTTCCCAAACTAATGCTGAAGACTGAGCTTCCTTATCCATTTTTGTGTTCATATCTTCTCCTAGGGCAGAGAGATAATTGTTTTGGGTTGAAAGTCTTCCAACTTCTAAGCCAGAACAGACACAGATTATTTTATGTTAACAAAGTACTTCGTTAAGCAGAGCCGGTTAACTTTGTAGATTAAAAAACAGGTTTTTTTGAAACCGCTGATCTACCATGTAATGGATCGTTGGTCACAGCCAAAGGAAAATGAACAATTTGTGCCAGGGAAATGGGCAGTATTACTGACTGTATTCTTTTTATAGGCTAAGTGCTTTCTAGAGGAAAGACTTTTTTTTTTTTAATTTAGGGGGTAAAACAGCACTTCCATGCAAGTCAGAATATAACTTTACCATTTTGGAAATGTCATTTAGAAGAAGAATAATGGGAAGTAAAGTCATGTGTAAATGAGCCCCTTAAAGCCGGACACGCGTTTGTATTTTCAAAGACTATTCTTTGGGCATTTTATGACAAGGCAACATGGTGAATCGTAAGACTAGTGGAATTACATTCCAGCTATCGATGTACATGAAGAACTAATAACTTGAGACATTTTATCTGACAGAGTTACAGTTTTATGTGCATATAATAGAAATCTTGTAATGATACCGTATGTTGCCATTAGACTTACAGCACACAGCAGAGAGAAGGCAACACGGCTTTCCATTGCTGCCCTACCGCCCCTCTCTCCCCTCTCCCTCATCAATACTTCCTTTATTACCTGACATTTATCCACCAATGTATTGACCAAAGGGGACATTGTCTCCAAAGGCCACAGTAATATGCTGCATACATGAAAATTGTATTAGGAATGCCCTCTAAGCCCATCAATAAACGTATTAACATGAAACATTCTACCCACTTTAATAGCACCGCAGATTTATGTACATATAATTATGTATCACAACAGCTCATATAGACTACTTTATTTGTCTCTTTTCATACATTTCTAATAAATATCTGACTAGGTAGAATGTTCAAGTAAGGGGCCAAATTTGATTTACTTATATTCTCAGTGCCTAGCACAGGGCCTGGCCCATAAGACTGTACGCACTCACTAAGGTTAACCAAACTGAGTTATTATGAGTTTCATTCTATGTACGAGGGGACTGAGGCTCGGGAATTGAAGCATCCTGGATGACAGCTAGTGAGTTACAGGGGCAGAGATTGAACTCAGAACTTGTGACTTCAGCACTCCGGGCTCTCTGCATTTCAGCACTCTGACCCCACAAAGGTATAGACAAAAGGGTGTGCGTCAGAGCACGGGGTCCTGGGCATGCCAGTGAACAGGAGGACAGAGCCTGAAACGAAGAAGAAGGAAGAACAGGAAGTTTCAGAAGCCAGATTTCATCTTGTTGTTGTTGTTACAAATTGTCTGGTATTAACTAACTTCTCTCTTCGTGGCTCATACCCCTGCCTCCCTCCACTAATTAGGGACCCTTGATGACCAACAATTATCTGTCTGCTATAACTAAACATTTTCAAAACTACAACTATGGCCCAAGAATCTTCAAACGAAATGCTATTCAGGCCCAGGACGGGCATGGTCTTTTGTTCTGGAGTGAACTGAGAGTGGCGAGTGCCTTGGCTGCCATTTTCTGGAGACCAGGGAGTTCTGTGGAGGGGACACGGGTTCTTCCTGCAACATATGACCGATTTCAGCAGGTGGAGGGGCTTTTCCTTTGAAGCCATCAGTAGATGCAGGAAGTGCATCAAAGTGTTTCTTCCATTTCCTGGTGGGTTTTTTTGTGTGTTTGTTTTTGTTTTGTTTTGTTTTGTTTGACAGTCTTGCTCTGTCGCCCAGGCTGGAGTGCAGTGGCGTGATCTTGGCTCTCTGCAACCTCCGCCTCTCAGGTTCAAGCGATTCTTCTGCCTCACCCTCCTGAGTAGCTGGGACTACAGGCACCCACTACCACACCCGGCTAATTTTTGTATTTTTAGTAGAGAAGGGGTTTCACCATGTTAGACAGGATGGTCTCGATCTCCTGACCTCGTGATCCGCCTGCCTTGGCCTCCCAAAGTGCTGGGATTACAGGCGTAAGCCACTGCGTCCAGCCCATTTCCTAGCTTTATAATGTTGTATTACAGTACAAATCTCACTTCATTTATATTATTAAACACTATTAAGTGAAATGTGCACAATAATCAGATTTTCTAGCTGAATGTGTTAATTTCTAAAAGCAAAGAGAAAATAACATTTATTGAATGCCTACTCTGTGCAAACCACCGTTAGGTATGGTTTTTGCTCCTAATATCTAAAAAAAGCAAAAACTAAAAGCGCTTAAGATAAAATGTGTTGGCCAGGCATGGTGGCTCACGCCTGTAATCCTAGCACTTTGGGAGGCCAAGGCGGGCGGATCATGAGGTCAGGAGTTTGAGACCGGCCTGGCCACCATAGTGAAACCCTGTCTCTACTAAAAATACAAAAAATTAGCTGGGTGTGGTGGCAGGCGCTTGTAGTCCCAGCTACTTGGAAGGCTGAGGCAGGAGAATTGCTTGAAACCGGGAGGCGGAGGTTGCAGTGAGCCGAGATCACGCCACTGCACTCCAGCCTGGGTGACAGTGTGAGACTCTGTCTCAAAAAAAAAAAAAAAAAGATAAAATGTATTACGTCTTCCTCTGTGAATAAGGACACACAGGCTCAAAGACAGAAATAAGGTGCTCAAGGCCAAAAACTAGCAAAAGACTATTAACATCTGATTCCAAAGATTTCTGATTCTCTCCATTGTCTATTCCAAGTCTTAAAAATGTTTCTAGTTATTTATTTTAATGCCAACAAACTTTTCCATAGACATTTCCCACAAACCATGCATTTAAAGGCTTTATTTTAGAAAAAAAAAATCACTCTGGCATGCTTTCACTGCAGAACTCTACTTCATCCAGAATAGTAGCCCTCTTATTCAGAGATCTCAACACTCAAAACAATTACATTTTTGGTCTCCAGATAATACACTGAAAGGTGGTATGGAATACAAAGAAAAATACAACACTGTAATGGAAAACAGCAGACCAAGATTCTAACCTCAAATCTGCCAAAAACTAGCAGTAAGATCTTGGCAAATCACCTAACTTCGTTAGACCTCAATTTCCATTCCATTATAATCAAGATGATCTTCAAAGTGCCTTGCGATTCTAGACATTATCTATATATTACTATTTGTCATTTAAAAAGTGATTTTCAATTATTCATTTAATGCAAAATTGTACATTGCTTTCAAAAAAGCAAGAATATAGATCTGTTAAGTTCCCTCTGATATAAGTCATAGATACTAACATGATTAAAGAATATAAATGAAGATGACATTTAACTTTTTTTAAAAGAAAACACAGACTTCAGGTGAGACTATTTTGCTGAGGACTGTGTGTTGGAGAAGTAAGTAGAAGAACAAAGAGAACAGTTTTAAGATAAAGTTTACAGTGTCAATTTATGTGTTAGTGTGTCTACTCCAGTACCTGACCCATTTCTCCATCAAGATTCAGGCCTATGGGCAACAGAGATAAGAAAATACTACAAGGCCAGGCATAGTGGCTCACACCTGTAATCCCAGCATTGTGAGAAGCTGAGACCAGAGGATTGCTTGAGGCCAGGGGTTTGAGGCCAGCCTGGGCAACATAGCAAGACTCTATCTCTAGAAAAAATACAAAAATTAGCCAGGCATGGTGGTACACATCTGTAGCCCTAGCTACTTGGGCAGCTGAGACAGGGGGATCCCAGAAGCTTGATCTTGAGCCCAGGAGTTCCAGGCTTCAGTGTGCAATGATAGCACCACTGCACTCCAGCCTGGGCTACAGAGCCAGACCCTGTCGCAAAAAAAAAAAAAAAAAAAAAAAAAAAAAAGAAAGAAAGAAAAAGAAAATACTTTAGATACATTGCTAATATAATACATCATTATACAATTTATAGAGACTAATTAACTGAGGAGTTTTTCACATTTGAGATACATACAAAATATAATTTCCTTTAAATTGGGAAGGAGATTTAGGGCAAGAACTCTGAATACATTTATGCAGTTTAATTGTAAGGCTTTAAATCAATCAGACATAAACTTACAGTCATCTCATGTAGATGTGATTTTGTTTCCTTTTGTAACAAAACAAATCTGTACAGAAAGTATTTGAATTCTAATAACTGCAGAAAGAAAATTGGATATGCCCTGTGAGACAATTAGCACCTGCTAGTTTAACCTCCACAATTAACGAAAGGCTGCCTAACTAATAGACACTTAAATCCAGATGAAGATTAACAAGTCCTCAGAAGAGGACGTTTTTTCTTTCTTTTAAGAGAAAGATAATGACAAATGAGCGTAGCATTCCTAATGAGGTAGGCCTATTTTTTTGTTTCAGTCGTCCTGGCAAATTCTCTATGAAGATAGAGAAAACTCACCTGAAAAGTTGAAAAGTGACCCTCCAGTGTGGCTGTTCCATCATTCACATTCAGAATCAGTGAGACTTTCCAATAAAGTAGACACTGACCGCGTGAAACAGTGTCGCTAGATTGTGCAGATTGCAAGTGGGAAAATAAAATGCTCATGAAAATTGCCTCCTTGAAGTGAACGTCAGCATTTCTAAGTTTGATTTTTATTTTATTTCAGGGTCTTTTTTTTTTTTCTTTTCTGTGAGAAAGCATTCCTAATATAAGTCAGTGACAAAATAATATGTAATTTTTTGCTTCTCAGGAATACATTTATTTCTTGATTTTAATCAAGTTAAAAAGAATCAATTGCTTCTAAATAGAGTTGTAAATACTACTGATCCAAAAAAGAATCCATCTGCTAAAATTTGTAGAATATAAGGGGAGGAGAAAATATGTTTCGATATGTGATCTCATTAAGCATAGGCTTTGGATTTGGCATGTTTTCATAGTTAATGCAATACATTCCATTTTGCATCTCATTTCATTGCTACGTTCTTGCAACTGAGAACATGAGCAGAAGCGTAAGGATTTTGATGAAATATTTAATCTCCTCAAAGATGATCATCTTTTCCCTTCCCTTCATTTTTTGTGACCTACCTCTACTCCATTGCTGCAAAAATGATGAGCCATCTTTGGTCACACAAAATATATTTCAAAAAGTAAAGTCCCCTTTATAGTAGCAGTCACTAGCATTTTGTCAGCTTGGTGCTGTGCGTGGCCACAGGGGAATAAAGAAGAAAGGTATCAGGACTTCCCGTCACTGAAACTGGGGCGGAGGAACATTTCTGATGTGAACTAGAAAAGGAGAATATTGAAGCAAATCATCTGCTGTGTTTGGATGAACTTCGATTTCAATTTTTTAATTTATTTTTAGTAAGGAGTATTGTCATGTCAAATCAGCAATTTTTATATTTTACACACTTCAATAGAAAATAGGTCATCTTTTGTCTTTAATTCCACCTTTACTACAGAGGTGAAAGTGGTGTCATTCTATTTAATTGGCTACCTACAGTTCATTAGTGGAGGCAGCATCGTTAAGTCATACTGGAGCATTTGTAGGAGCTAATCTTCCGGGCACTTAGTATTCTCGTTGACCTTGTTAAAGGTAAGGCAGGTCAGACTTGGGTTCAACAGAGGCACTCTCCCACCAAGGAGACTGGCATGACAAAGTAATCGGTGTGTGTCACTTTTCATTAATCACACCACTTTCCTTTTCATGAAATACCAGCAGATAATTGTTACTAAATGTGATTCGCAACACTCAGTGCAGTGGTTGAAGAACCAGAAATAGGCAAACAGATAAAAACATTGTTTAGCTTGCAGGCAGCAAGTGTTTGCCATTCAGAGATACATCATGCATAAACATTGATTTAGCCATGAGCTCACACTCATAAAGCTTTTGCTGTTTCCAGAAAACCCTGTAGTCAGACGAGGTAATAGCCAAGGGCAAGCACTTTTACCTGTATGGCAAGCTTACGTTCTATTTCAGTTGCCTGGTTTGAAATAAATCAGTTTCTCAGTCTGAAATAAATCAGTTTCCCTAATGTTAGGCCACTGCGAGATTGCCATGGATTAGAATGAAGTGCACGAAACAAAATGCTTGCCTTTATAGTGAAAGACTCCTAGAGGGCAGCTTGTTGATTTTGAATAAATATTTCATTAAGTTCAAGTGCCTGCACATGATTTTGGAAGCTGAGAATTCATGTAAATCAACGGAGCTTTCCAACTTTCTTTAATAAATGGATACATTTATTTATACACAATAAAGGAAACTTTTCTTTTCCTTATCAGGACATCCCAATTTTAAAACCCATGTAAAGCAAGTAATGCTACTTTAAAATATGCTCGGGGAACAGGAGGCTTTTGGCGTATGATGGCTTGTGGTTCTCCTATAGCTGGGTCCTTGTCCAGTTTGCCATTAGCACAGGATCTGTTGACCAGAAGCAGCCTAGGTCCGTGCCATCCACCCACCCCAGCAGCCAGCCTATACTCAGTGGGCACTATGCAAATGTTGCTAGGCACACGACAAAGCCACTGAACAGTGCACACTATGGTCTTGTTAACTCAACACTGTAGGTTGTGACGGCAAATAGAAGTGAGTTTCAGATATGCAGATAGAGTAGGAACTGAAACTGAGGCTATGGACAACGTTCTGAGGCTTCTGGTCCTCGCTGTCATTCCTTCGTTTTTCTGTCCTTCGGTCTCAGTAAGATGTCAGATCAGTGCTAATGTGTACAACTGCTTTCTTTGCTATTACGATACATAAATAAAATGGAAGAATTCAACACAAACAGTAAGTGCTAACTGCCAAGAGGATTTCCAAAGACAAAATTGGAAAGATTGTTTTTTCTTAAAAAGAAAACATATTATCAAACTCCACTTCTCAAAGTTTTCTCAATGGATAATATGCTTGTCAAACAAAAGCATGGTACTTAGTACAGGGGAAAACCATATTTTGTCAGAATGGAGAAAGTAATTCGATCAGATATATACAGATTTCTTTTTTGTAAAAAACAAATGGAGTGATTTTCTTATGTAAAATATATTTTGCAAAGAGCTTATTGATTCTGAAGAAGCATTTTCACAAAGAAAACTAAAGTTTAAAAATCCAGCCAATAATAATAATACATAATGTAAACATATAAAAACATATTTTACTTACCATTAACATAATTAGTCCTCATTGCATATACAGGTGTAGTATTCTATTTTTTTGAATCTCAGATTTCAACATGTGTTCACATTTCATATTAGGGTAACTTCTGTGATCATTAATTTTTATCATATTTAATTTTTAAACATTGGTCATTTTAGAGCATTTAGCATCTAATGAAACTGACACTTACGTAACATATGAATTGTCCCTGGCCAGTATGAAAAAAAAGCTAACACTTATTAAGCATTAACTATATGCTAAGTACTCCAATCATATTAACTCACTGAATCCTTGCAACAATAGATAAGGTAGGCGAAATCATCATCGGGATTTTATGGAAGAGGAAGTACAGGGGCAGAGGGCTTCAGTATCTTGATGAGGATCACACAGTAAGCACTGGAGCTGCTTTCAGACCGAAGCAGATCAGCCAGACTCGCTGCTACTCAGTCAGTCACTAAAGGACACTGCCCCGACGCACGTTCACATTCTAAGTTAACACACCACACACCAGCCAAGTCTCTCCTGGTTTCAGATGTGGGAGTCGTACATTGCATAGAAATGGCAGGATCCCTTTCAATAGACTGTACTTGTCTACTGTTAGAGAGCCTTCTATTCTCTGCTAAGTGCTTGGGGATTTGAATAACTTACCCTCAGGCTTTCTTTCCTACAGTGCAAAATATTATTTCTAACATACGTGAAGTAAGATTGCATAGTTTTAACGTAAATGGTTGCATACAGATCTAAGAGGGGAACTAGATAAGACCTAGTCACTGGATGATGGATTTTTGTCTTTAACGAGGTGCCATATTGATGCGTTAAAACCTTCTCCCTCTTCCCTTTATGACTTTTCTCGCCCAGACTCAGAAACTTGATCAGGGTCACTGTGTTTCCTGCTCCCCAAAGCAGAGGAAAGTGTAGGGGTTCTTGGGAGGCTGTTTCCTCCTTATAACAGCTGAGTTGGCTAACTTCACATTTCCTGTGTTGAGCAGGTGGAAGCAATGTCTGTCTGCCTAGCTAAGCTAATTTTCGTTTTCCTCTTGGCATCCAGGACTTATCTTCCTTCCTCTTTAATGGATGGAAGTTCTTTGGGGAGTTTTTTTTTCTTTTTCCTTACCTGTGTAAGAAAACAGAAAAGCAGCATATTGTTTTCTTTGACCTTATTAAATTGCGTTTCAACCTTGAAAAATGACCCAATGGTTCAGTGTCCGCTTGCATAAGAAATATAACAGAATATTCAGATGTGGATAAAGGCTTGTCCCAGGCATACTGTCCAGGAACGGAATGACACATAGACAGCATTCTCCTTGGTCTTCTCTGGAAGTACCAACTTCTGCAATGAGGGAGGTGGATGCGGTCATTTGGCACCTTAAAGAGCTCAGTTCAACAACCCAAATAACATCAAAATAACTCCATGCTTCCATCTGGAGGCTGTGAAGTTGTCACATAGCCCATCCTCTTTAAGCAATCGCGTTTGTATTTTCCCTTTCACTGTTTTATGTTACCCTCCCAGTCACTCCTCCTACCTACCCCTGAGCCCACCCAAAGAACCTCCTCAGCTCCAGGGTCCAACCCATGTTTCTCTCTCCCTTCCTCCTGATTCTGCCTTGCAAAGTCAAAGAACTTACCTGTCCCAGGAGGAATATTGTCAGCAGTAGGTGTGGGTAGGAGATTAAGAGAGAAACATAAATTCTCTTTACCAGGTTGAGGGAAAGGGAAAAGTTGCAGCTTCTTGTATGTGAAGACCTTTATCCCTCACCAGTATGTCATCTCTTTCCTCCTCCTCCCTCCTGTCTTCACTGTGACCCCCAAATAATTTTGTTCAGATACAAATTATTTTTTTTCATTCTGGTAGACCTTAGAACATACAAACACAAAGTAAAATCATAACGGATGGACCCATACAGGAATTCTCCCATTTTGATCATTGGTTGTTGAAAGTTTCCTAGCCTATAATATTTACCCAGCAGCTGATTTGAGCTCTTTCTGCATATTCCTACATTGTTCTACACTAGGTGATGGGATTTTAGTGATAAAGGAGAGACCCCTGGCAGGGCCCGGTGGCTCATGTCTGTACTCCCAGCACTTTGGGGGGCCGAGGCGGGCAGATCCCCTGAGGTCAGGAGTTTGAAACCAGCCTGACCAACATGGTGAAACCCCGTCTCTACTAAAAATACAAAAATTAGGCTTGGTGATACGTGCCTGTAATCCTGGCTATTCGGGAGGCTGAGGCAGGAGAATCACTTGAGCCCAGGAGGCAGAGGTTGCAGTGAGCCCAGATCACACCACTGCACTTGGCACTCCAGCCTGGGTGACAGAGTGAGACTCCATCTCAAAAACAAAACAAAACAAAAAAAAAAAAACAAAAAAGGAGAGACCCCCATCTCTCTCCTCATTGGACATAGGGTGGGTAGAGGGATGGGGAATGGTCATTAAATAAATCAACATCAACATAATACATTTATTCCAATTATTACAAGAACTATAAGAAAAAGCACAATCTGCACTGAAAATTGCAAGAGTGAAATATCTCCTGAAACCGCGGAGGAGGTTAGCCATTACGAAGAGTTTACCGATTAACTTTTAATGAATCAACACATTCAAATATTATATACAAGGCTTTAGGGAATACCAATTTGGGGGAAGTCTGACATCTTTTCTGTGTTCTCTTTTGAATTTATTGTTTCCACTATGGAACACTTGAAAGAGAAAGCTTTGGAGTCTGTATAGCAGGACAAAGTATAACTAACTTCCAGCTTGCTGCTGCCTAACCATCATTTTCATTGATGAGAAATGACTTATGTGTTTTCATCATTGTTTTTCTCTTTGATTGATAAGTAAAAACCATGACATTCAATCTTAAGATCTCTAAACATTGGTTATCTCTCTTTTTTCAACTTAAATCTATACATTTCTTTAGAAAAGAGAGCTAATCCATGCTGGGCTTAATAACTAGGTGATGGGTTGATAGATGCAGCAAACCACCATGGCACATGTTTACCTGTGTAACAAACCTGCACATCCTGGACATGTACCCCAGAACTTAAAATAAAAATAAAATTTATATGCCTGTTTAACAGTCATTTTACCTGATCTCCCCTCTGAGGGAGCAAATTTTGTGAGTGTGAATAGCATGGACCTATTCACAGGGTGCAGCCACCCTGGGCTCCTAACCCTACACTATCGTGTACTGGTTTCATTTAATATAAATTTAAGTCATTGAGCCTGGGCAACAAGAGCAAAACTCCATCTAAAAAATAATAATAATAAGTCATTGTATTAGTTTGCTAGGGTTGCTGTAACAAATACTGGATGGCTTAAACAACAGACATTTATTTTCTCACCATCCTGGCAGGTAGCAGTTTGAGATCAAGCTTTTGGCAGGGTGGGGTCCTTCTGAGAGCCATGAGGGAGGAGCTGTTCCAGGCCTCTCCCCTTGGCTTAGAGATGCTGTTGTCTCCCTGTGTCTGCACGTTGTCTTCCCTCTGTCCATGTCTGTGTCCAAATCTCCTCTTCTTATAAGGGCACCAGTCATATTGGATTAAGGCCCACCCCCAGTGAGCTCATTTTCACTTAATTACCTCTGATATGACCCCGCCTCCAAATCTCCAAATCCCTAGCATTCTGAGATCCAGGGGCGGTGGGTGCTAGGGCTTCAATATGCGGGGATGGGGAGTGTGCAAAATTCAGCCTATAACAGTCATCATCGTAAAGTCGTCCATAGACTGGTTGTGACTGTTGTGGCACAGCACAGTCCCAATTTTCATAATATTAGTCAGAGATAGTAAAGTTATACACAAGCCTACAGAAATATGCAATCAACATATTAGAATTTCATCCCACTGATGGGTAGGATTCCCCAGATAAGTATTCTTCTTTATTGAAATATAATAAATATTAAAGTACTTTTTAAAGCAATTTTATATATTCAATGTGATAAACTAGGAAAAAAAACAAACAGGCGAAGGAAGCTGGTTCCGCATTGGTTGACCTCACTGCGCTGTGAGAAACAGGGAGTGTCTCTCCTCTGCTATCTGAGACCTGTCAACATCACAGCTAAAACCTGAATTACAAGAAGTAATAGGGGAGAAATGAATTAGCCCAGGCTTCTGGCTGGATTTTCTCCATCGCGGGGCCGTCTTAAGTGTTCTGACATTTGTTAGCTCATTTCTTCATTTGTGGCAATTACATCTGGTTACTGATGTCCTGAGCCCAAATACGTTAGCCCTAGCTCAGCCAGGTTGCCATCTCCCTGGTCCTGGAAGTTCCCACATAAGGATGTTGAATGTGTCTCACTTCTTCATCTTCCACAAGAGAGAATCTGATGGAAGTACTAGACTGCAGGCCATACTGTTATATTCTCCAGGAGATGTACTAGAAAATGCTTTGCAGATAAATGGGTGGGCTCTTAGAGCCCAGCAGAAGGGAGGGGACTTGCATTTTTCTACCTTTCTGGCTGGCAGCTTTGCTTGGCCCAAAATCAGGTTACCTGGAAAGTAGCAACAGGGCGCGAAATCTAAAAACAAAACAAAACGAATACACTGTCTGGAAATGGAAGGCTGCTTTGTACTTTGGGTTTTATAATAAGTTTGAATAGTTATTTTCTGCCGGGCCCATTTTTCTCTCTAAATTGAAAAGAATCTGGCATCTCAGAGACAAATAAAAAGTTCCACGTGCTAATATGGCAGAAGAACACCATCTTTAGAGACTCGTCTGAAATTCACACACAGAATAAATGAAACACCAGTATAATATAATCTAGAATTATTGATAACAAAAGTCACTGTCCCTTTCTGGATCTTGGTCTTCTTATCGAAAATGGGATTTTGAGAAGTCCACAGCTAAGCATCCAAGAGTGGTTATGAAAATTTTGTCAGTGGCCATACTTGTATGAATTTTCTGAATAGACAGTTCATCAACTTCCTTAAATGACCAAAGGCATCAGTGACTAAAAATGTGTAAGAAATATCCGGTCAGATGACCTCAACCCTCCATATTTTTCCAGCTCTAGCATTCAATAATTATAGATACTATACTATGTGCCTGTTTTGAATCCTTCTTTTAACCACTGTTATTAAGGATTTGTTGGTCTAAATGCTACGTTAAGTACAAACAGAAAATTAGCATATATAGTTTGCTATGCATATCTCATGGATTTTAATAGAATCTAGTAATTGATTCATAAAAGGATACAGAAAAGATAAATTATGGAAAAAATAAAGGCTATAGCAGAAGTGAACAAATACATAATAATTCTTAGTCTTTTTTTTTCTGTTTGCAGCAAATGATTAATTAGTGGGATTGTTTCTATTGATGCCTTCAAAGCTATGAAAAATTCTCAACATGTTACCTATGATTTTACTTTTCATTTCATTCCAGAAAGTATATTAAAGTGGGTGAAAAACAGTGGGTCAATAATCTTAAAAAGTTTTATATATCATGTTGTAATCCTCACATATATCTTGCTTAAATATTCTTGTCTAATTATAGCAGCATGGGCTAATTGTTCTTAAGCCCTAAATGGAATGGCAAAATAGTGATTTATAGATGTATTCTGATAAGATATAATTAGGTTTAAGAAAATGGCATGCTTTCATTATCTTAAATGATATAATAATTTACGGACATAATTTGGTTTGACAATATATAGCATCGTATTGCCAGATTAGACAAACTGGTACCTTTAGAAGTACATATAAATTTTAATGTTTTATATTAGAACGAGATAAGAGAAAACCTAGTTGAATAAATTACAAAGAAAACATGAACATCAATTCAACCTTCATGAAGAAAAGGTTTGGGTTTGGGTTTCTGGGGGGTTGTTTGGCGTTCTTTGGTTTTGTTTTGTTCTGTCTTTAAAATAACTGAAGGATTTTTTTTTTTTTTAGTCCTAAAACCAACACTCTATGAAAATCAAATATGACCTTATTATTCTCCTGATCTGAGTCCCCAGTAAGTAATGTTCTCAATCTTGGCTATGCCTTTAAAAAAAAAGTACTGATACATGAAACCTGTTGCCAGAGACTCTGATCTGACTGGTCTAAGGATGTTTTAAAGCTCCCAGGTGATTCTAATGTGTAGCCATGCTTAAGAACCACTGCCTTAAAGAAATGAGAGTTTTTGGAGGATGGCTGATGCCACGTTTGCAGTCAGCAACATCAAGACAGGCCTAGAATGTTCTGGGTTGCCAAAAAGCAAGGATAATTTCAAAAGTATCTGAGATAGGGCTAAAATGTAGAAGGAATCCAACTTAAAAGAACTTTCAAAATTGCTGCCATTTGAGTATTAAATAGAAAACAAATAGTCAATTGGAGTAAGCAGAATTTATAAAAACCACTAAGTCTGTAATAATACTTACAAAAGCTGTGTATGTTGAGGAGGAATACAGATATAAAACTGTGCTAACGGAAAGCTGTGTTTCCAGTAATATTTATAGAAGACACTACATATTAATCAATCTAAATTATTTATTCAAAGTTTCCTAGATTCCTTATTCATCAAGTATTTGGATGCCTACTGTGTAGCACGTATTGTTTTACCTGCTACAGGTATTGTTTTGCCTGCTACAGGTATTGTTTTGCCTGCTACACAGTAGGACACAGAAGACACAAGAGATACATTGTTGACTTCAAGCAATGCATATTCTAGCTGGAGAAGACTGGGCTGACAGACATATATAATAACATATCAGTGAATGCCATGAAGAAAAGTAGCCCCAGGGTATGAGGATAGAGAGGTAGGAAAGTGTGAGACCATTAAAGAGATCACTACTGGGAATGCCTCTAAAAGTTTAATAGTGAACAACGACTGAGTAATGTGAGGGAGGCAGAATATTCCAGGCTGAGGGACTGCAAGTGCAAAGGCCCTGTGGTATGAATGGTCATCAAGAATACCAGCATGGCTGAAGCAACAAATTGAGATCAGAAGGGTGGCCCCTGGCCAGATCACATACAGGACATTGGAGGGACAGGGTCTGGCTGCTGCACAGATGTGGATCATAGGAGGGGACAGCCATGGAAACAAGATTAACTGGGAGACTAGTTGGGAGTCGAGACATTAGCGCAGATAAGGTGGAAAGTGGTTAGATTCAGGACTTATTTTTTGAAGTAGCGTTCAGAAGATTTTTTTGATGGATTGGGAGTAGCATATGGGAGAAAGGAGAAAATCAGGGATGAATCAAGTTTTTGTCTTGCATGACTGGTAAAGAGCAGTGCCCTTTCCTGAGCTAGAGAGACTGAAGAAGAAGTGTATTTGAGGTGGATGGAGCAGGAAGAATCAGTAATTTACTCTGGACACATTAAATTTGACATGCATATTAAATATCCCAGTGTTGGGGGGACAGTGGGATATTTCACAGTTAAGCTCGGGGACATGCTGGCTTTAGAAACAGAAATTAGAGACCCATCAACACATACATAGTTTTTAATGCCATGGTGCCAAATAAGAACCTAGATAGAAATCAGAGAAGAGGCTTGAGGACTAAACCAGGAGGTACCACCAGTTAGAGGCCAAGATGAGTTAGAGGAATAAAACAAGAGCCATTAAGATAGAGGAGTCAATACACAGGAAGAAAATCAGAAAAGCGTTTTCCAGGAAGTCAGGTTGCATTTCAAAGGAGAGAGTGGGTAAACTTAAAAAATGCTGACGAGGACCAAATAAGATGCAGACTGGGAGGAGCACGTTGGATCTGGCCACATGAAGGTATTCCTGTAAGAAGACCAAAGAAATGCGGTAGGCTGGGCACGGTGGCTCACACCTGTAATCTCAGTACTTTGGGAGGCTGAGGCGGGCGGATCACAAGGTCAAGAGATCAAGACCATCCTGGACAACATGATGAAACCCCATCTCTACTAAAAACGCAAAAATTAGCGGGCATGGTGGCAGGTGCCTGTAGTCCCAGCTACTCGGGAGGCCAGAGGCTGAGGCGGGAGAATCGCTTGAACCTGGGAAGCAGAGTTTGCAGTGAGCTGAGATCTCGCCACTGTACCTCAGCCTGGCAACAGAGTGAGACTCCATCTCTTCCTTTTTGTGAGAACGGGGTCTCGCTATATTGCCCAGGCAGGTCTTGAACTCCTTGGCTCAAGCTATCCTCCCGCCTCTGCCTCCCTGAGAGCTGGGATTACAGGCATGAGCCACCGCGCCCGGCCGAGACTCCATCTCAAAAAAGAAAAGAAAAAAGGAAAAAAAGAAAAAAAAAAAAAGAGAAATGAGGTAGTAGCTGAGGAGAAATATGAGACATCTCTGATTCTAATTGGCAATCAGAGAAGGGTACTTTTAAATATAATGTATATATTGTTTACTAAATTTAAGTAAATATAGTTAATCCTCACCATTCGCACTAGACCTGGGGTAGGGTAGAACAATATAAACTACCTTTTCTACATTAGAAAAATTACCTAGGGCTAAAATAGCTACAAATTCACATGCTTTGGCTTTTGTATTCTAGCTGATCAAAGCAATTAGGCAGTAAGCTAAGCTATCCAACAAGCCACATATGCACAAGAACTAATATAAATGTGATTGAAATTATTGCAAATAATTAGAATCTCTAGAAAAGGGGAAAATACTAAAAATACCATCATTTGGTCAATAAATCATATATCAGTTTAAATCCACTGTGTGCCTCCAGGAGGGCCACAGCACATATGGACCTAGAAAGCCTGACTCTGAAAAGATAGAGTGAGTCAGAACTCCTGGGAGCCAAGAATACTATTTCTAGACCCAAGTGTTTTAGAATTGAGATCTGCTTCAGTTCTTGGATCTTCTGAAGCTGAATCTATTTGAAAATGTCAAATAGAAACAAAACAATCCTATTTGACATTTTTAAAAGTCATACAAAATAAGAGGTTGCAGTTATAAAATAAAAATTCAACAACATCAGCAATAAAGTCAATGAATGAATGGAAGACCCCTACCTTGTGATTTACAAATTTGCAAAGTTAAAGGAAACCCAACTTGGTGACCTTCCATTCTTGCTCTCATTAAGCTCAGCGTTTCCTTAGAAGGCAATATTGTTAAGTTTGTGAGCACAGACCTTGAAGGTAGTTTGCCCAGGTTCAAATCCCACTCCCACTTCCTCTTGGCTGTGTAACCTTGGATAACTTGTTTTCCAATCTCCGTGCCTTTGTTTGACCAGCTGTGCAGGATGGGTGGGTAATGAAAACGATCTCAAAGGGTTGTTGTGAAGAGCACATGAATGAATCATGTGTAGTGTTTGAACAGAGCCTGGCCTGTGATCAGCTCTAGGAAAATGTTTTCAGTGATCCCCGTTATTTTTGTTTTGATATATTTATTATGGTGTAAATACAAAACATACAATTATCGGTCAAATTCCCCATTTTTAGCTTTGTATTAAGTCAAAAGAGAAAATATTTCATTTATTATCTCTTTCTCACTCCTCCCCAACCCCAGCCAGTCAGTGCACAGTCAATAGCAAGATCAAAGGAAGGAGCATTGAGAGACCTTTGGTTCTGATACCTTCTGTAGACTTTAAGGCCCTTATATGGCTTGGATCTATGTTCCCACCCAAATCTCATGTTGAACTATAATCCCTGATGTTGGAGGTGGATCCTGGTGGGAGGTGATTGGATCATGGGGGTGGATCCTTCATAAATGGTTTGGCGTCATCCCCTTGGTGTTGTTTTTGTGATAGAGTTCTCACAAGATTTGGTTAAGTTTGTGGGACCTCCCCACTCTCTTGCTCTCACTCCTGCCGTTTGAGAGGTATCACTCCCCCTTTGCCTTTCACCATGATTGTAAGTTTCCTGAGGGCTCCCCAGAAGCATAGCCGATGCCAGTATCATGCTTCCTGTACAGCCTGCAGAACAGTGAGCCAATTAAACCTCTTTTCTTTATAAATTACCCAGTCTCAGGTATTTCTATATAGCAATGAGAGAATAAACTAATAAGCCCTATTACTCCCTCAGTCCATATTTAATTGTTTTATTTTTCGCTCTCTTGGGAAACAGATAGAATTAATAAGTGCAGTGGGACTGCAGTTTATTATACCAATGTATGTTATATGAAGATCTTGGCTTATCTTTCTCATAGCAATAAATATCTGATATTTTAAAAATAGAAATTACAAAATTTCTCTTTTAAAAATTGTGGAAAATCAGTAAGAATGATTTATCAAGTAACAGAATCCTCAGCTAAAAATTGATTTGTTTAAAAAGAGGACTTCTTTTCTAATGTCACAAGATGTTGGGATATAGAGGGGGGCTTCAGGGTTGATTAATTGATTAACTCAGTACCATCATAGGGGAAGCAAGTTCTATTTTGCTCTCCAACTATCCCATCATCACTATGAACATTCACAGGTAAAAAAGGAAATTATTTACTCATTGTATTTTTGAAAGCTAGGAAACCTTTCCCAGAGTACCTCTCAGCCAACTTGTCCTCACATCTCATGGACCAAAATTAGACTGTTGGCACCTTCTAAAAGTGAAAAATAATTACAGGCAAAATGATTGGTTGAAACTAAGTGTGCCTTTGTCACTGCTCGAAGAGTCACTTTCCATGGTCCCATTGCTACAAAGAAGAGGTTGAACACCTGAATAAGAGCAGGTCTGCATCTGCAGAGAAGAAATGGGAGGCATGGACTTAGTTAGACCACGAAAAGGTTCTTTACAGTTGGTGAGCTCCTAAATGTTGCTGGTCAAGAACAAAGATATATGATTTCTGAAACCCCATTATGTGGGATGGTGGAGTTAAACCTCACCAGTCAGTCATATTGCCCTAAGAGAAGTCAAAGGAGGTATTGTAGTATCTCCTTTGTTGTGAAGCCTTTACCTTGGTTGAGGGAAAATCTTCTTGGTCACTACCACCAAAAGTAAGGCCTCCATGTGCCTTGAATATTTGGAAATCACTCCTGGTGTTGGTAAGTACTTAGTACCACCTGCCCTCGAAAAGATGTAAAACAGCCACATCTTTATAACTAATTATTACCACTATATTACTTGTGGTTTGGGCCACCAAGATTGAGAACCAGTAGACTAGATATCCCTATACTTTCTTCTGACCTCAGAATTCAATTATTCCCTAACATCAAAATACATAATTATACTCTTAAATTCTCACAGAAAAAAAACCCTGTAGATTGATTATTGCCATTTTTTGTATTATCCTATCATACTTCATTTTTATTTCTAAATGCTTACGGTGATCAAGGTACCCTTAGCCAAGCCAGCGTTTCCCACAGAATGTCAGTATTCTGGTGCTTGGATCAAATAAGTTTCACAGGTTAAGACAGGTACTTTGTGGGGTCTTTCATATGCTACCTGCTTCATGACCTGCTGAGGGAGGCACACGTACCCACAGATAAACTTACTTGAGGAAGAAACCCTTTTTACACAGAGCATCCCCTGGGCATAGTGGTCCTCAGAAAACACTTTGGGAAACACTGAGAACATTTCTTTGCATGTGAGATGGTGCATTGAAAATTTTAACTTGGGGCCAGGTGCGGTGGCTCATGCCTATAATCCAAACACCTTGGGAGGCCAAAGCAGGGGGATCATTTGAGGCTAGAAATTCAAGACCAATCTGGCCAACAGGGTAGGACCTCATATGTACAAAGAAGTTAGAAAAAAAAATTAGCTGGGTGTGGTGGCACATGCCTGTAGTCCCAGCTACTTGGGAGGCTGGGGTGAGAGGATCACTTGAAGCCTGGGAGGTGGAGGCTGCAATGAGCTATGTTCACACCACTGCACTCCAACCTGGGTATCAGAATGACAGAGCAAGATGCTATCTCAAAAAGAAAGAAAGACAGAAAAAGAAAACCTCAGGCTCACTGGAGGAACAGATGACTCAGAGCCATGATGGCAGACCAGACCATCCTATCCTATAGGTGGTTTGACAGTTCAGGAAGAAGCCAACCTTGTGTCTGTGACCAGTATATATTTTCTTGCTTTCTCCTCCTTTTAAGAACACACTAAAGTAAGTGAAATCCATTCCTCCCTCCATAGGCCAGCTCTTTCTGTTAAAATGTGGATGTGATTGATGCTGGAGTTCTTTTTTTATGAAAATTTAAATATTTATAAATATATGCAACATAACACCATTCTTATTTGTTTACCTTTTATTTTTTCAATGCATATTTATTGAGAACCATCTATGCAAAAAAAGTAGAGCAAAGACAAATAAAATATATTTATTGCCTGTGAGATTCTAGTTTAGGAAACTTCGCAAAGTTTTAAAATCTACAAAGAGATAAATTTTCATTTCTATTGAAGTTCTCAGAAGCAATGAACTCAAGATTAATACCAACTAATTGTTTTACAGCACTTTGAAAAATACATTCACAGATAATTCTTTAAGATTTTGCTGGCATATTCCAGTGGGAAAAAGAACTGAGGGTTACCAATATTTGCCCATTTTCTTAATTATACGTGGTAGAGCAGGGTCTGGAACCTTCAGTTTAATCCCACACTTTGAGAACCACTACTGTATACATTATTCTTTACTTCATTCTTTCACTTAAGATTCTACTATGTCGGTCACCTCAGCAGTAGAGAAGCTCTATTTCTTTTTGTAGCTGCATAGTACTCCATTGTGATGATATACCAGAGTTTGTCCCACCAGTTCAAATGTTGCACATTTGAGCTGTTTAAGTGTTTAGATGTTACACATAGTACTGCAGTGAATAGCCTTGTGTCTATTTCTTTTACTAGTCTTGCTAATCTAGTACTATTGGGATACATTCCTCAAACTGGGAATTCTGAGATACAGGATAAATGCATATGTAAATACTTAACTTCCTCTTAGCTGGTGATTCAAAATAGTTTATAAATATTATACTTTTATGGAAAAAATCCATTATTCCTAAATTCATGTTTCTTTAATAATTCAAGACAAAGAGATCCTATCCCAAACAACAAAGTAACTACAATTAGGCTGAAACGATTGTAAAATGCTGTTTTATCTGTATTGGGTATGCAGTGAGATTCTTCACTGGGTAGAAATGACCCAAGACGTCTTGTACCACTGGCATCTTTCCACTAAATGTCAGGACCTCCTATCAATCATTGGGACAACAAAAATGTACCCACAAATTTCCAAAATGCCCTAGTGGGCAGTACCAACTCTATTGATGGCGCTGGCTTGGCAAATGCTTGACTTGTAAGTACTTAATAGATATTGGTGATATGATGCTTACTATTTTTCTTAGTGCCCCCACAGATAATAATAGGATCACACTTATTCCTCATACAGATGATGCCTGACTCCACTGTTCATCAGTCACATGGTCATCAACAACCTTTGAAAATAACTAATGTCTCTACAGTTAGTCCATTGCATGGTTTTATGTAAAGGCTCAGTTTACATTTTTAAACTTGAAGAAATTATACTACTATTCATGTGTAACAAGCTAACAAAATGTACAATAAAAATGAAGGAAGCATCTATGTTTGGATTAAAATGTACTGATTTTAAGAGCAATATTCCGAAGTGGTTAAGAGTCTAGACCAGAGCTATCATTAGAAATATAATCTTAGGCACATACATAATTTAAAATTTTCTAGTAATCACATTAAAGAAGTAAAAAGAAACCAATTTTAATAAAGTAATATATGGATTATATTGTCTATTAATTAAATTAATTATAATATGCCGTTAACCCAATATATCCAAAATATTATTTAAGCATGTAATCAATATAAAAGTTATTGATGAGATATAGTACATTGCTGTTCTTACTAAGTGAAGTCCTGTGTCTGTTTTACACATGTAGTACCTACCTCAATTCCGATCAGCCATATTTTAATTGCTCAGTAGCCCTCCATGGCTCTGCCTACAACACTGACTAGCACAAGTCTAGTTGCACGTAAATAAGACTTCCTGGGTTTGAATCCCAGATCTCCCATCTACTAGCTATGTACCTTGGACTATTTTTCTTAACTTCTCTGTGCCTTCAGTTGGTAATCTGTAAAATCAGAGTCATAAAAATAGAGTCTACATCAAAAGGCTTTGGGAGAATTAAATGAGATAACATGTATAAAATACTCAGAACTGACACAAAGTAAGTCCTCATTAGAGGGTAATCAATATTATACAGGCTTAACTTATGTATGCAGAGTTTATCAAAACAATAACAGAAAAATATGAAAAGCTGGGGTGAAAACAAGAAATTTCATCAGTTGATATCATAACACATATGAATTCTCCTTTCTCCACCCCACCTCTGGGTCCGCTCCCCCAATACCTCACCAACAAAAACTGTTTCTCAGAATATTTCTTTCGGTTTGGGATTATTAGCACATATTCTTGCCAACTTTGGTGGATAAGCAGAAGCGCAGAATGTACTAGTCTTTTAGCCCCTCCTGATACTGAGTCTTAGAGCTTTGATTTGATTTTGATCCCTTAGCACATATCATGTGTTAAGGGATGTATGGATTTGAATCTAGAAGTTGCCTGCTGACTTCTAAGTAAACAGGAATTTATGCAGACAAGATCATTCACATAATTATTTCATTGTCGAGCCCCTTGCTGAATGGCACATTAGAAGTATGTGAATGATCTAGGAATTGAATGTGGATGCACAATTATTGGCAGGTCCCCATGTAATAGGAGTTCTGTCTTTATTTCTTTGTCCATGAGAAACTTTTTCATGTCAGAGAGAAAATTGCAGGAGATGATCACGGGGTATAAAAATGTCCTAGTAGAGATATTTTAAGTTTTTCTTTTATTCTATACATAACAGACATTCTTTTACTTTCAACCTGATGCTTCCATTTTCTATTTTTTAGTGATGCTGATAGGCACTGTAAGTAAACCAGATAATAGACTCTTAAAGTTTCTGTGTGCAAATTGAAAGAGCACATTATAGTGCCTGCCTTTCCTGAGGTCTTGCAGTCTAACCAATGTGGTATATGAATACGACACCAGTGGAAGTTATAACAATAGTTTCTGTCAGCCTGTCTGAGATGGTTAGAGAATAGCTGTAGGGAATAGCACAGTAACCTAGAAATGTCCAGATTCTTCTGGCCCCTTTTATTGTGATAAATCTCTTGTGAACTTTGCAGAGGTATTGTTTGCATCTGGTATATCTCTGTCTAGAATGTGTATCTATTCCTCCTTACTGAACGATGTGGCACAAAAACCAATTCAATCGTATTTAAAAAAAATAAAACATTGTGCAGGAGGGGAGTAGAGATAATGTATTTGAGTAAGATGAATTAACTTCTTTCTATACCTTCGCGGGATAACATGTGAATAGTGCAAGATTGTATGTTTAAAAATCTTAAACAGTGTTCTCTTCTTATAGCAGAAAAATGCCTCTTCTGGATGCTGGTTTACTGCAAGATACATCAGATAACTTGCTAACTGAGAACACTGGGCTGTGCATTCGACATAATATTGTGTTTTTCCTTAATAAAAGAACTAAAAGGAAATAATCATAAATGCTGGCAAAATATTACATTCAGTTAAATATTTCTAAATGTATGTTTGAAAGAAATTAGTGAGGAGTATAAAAGAATGGAAGAATACAAGTCTGGAAAGACATGATGCCAATCTTTTATGAAATAACATTCAAAGATTTCCTGTGACCTTGGAATTGGATCTTTTTCTCCTCGGCATGAAACCTCTATAGCTGACTGCTTTTGGATCATACACCATGTGTGTACCCGTCACTGAAACTTTGTTTCTTCCACATAAGCAAAATGTCCTATGAAAAATTCAGTCTACCTAATTCTTCCATGTCACCCAACGTTCAGTTTGAGTCCCATCTCACCCATTAAGTCTTCTCAAACCTCCATAGCTCATGATTATGTCTCTTTTTACCTCCTATAGTGGATTTTAGCCTAATTTGCTAAATTATTGTATGTCCAATGCCACAGCTAGTAAGAGATGAAAGCCAGGATTTGAATTCAGAATGAATCCAAGCTTACCAAGGGTTTGGTCGCAATGGAAATTGCATATTTAGGTTCATAAATGTAAGATGACTGTCAATTATTCCAGAGTTTCTAGGCTTACCTGGGTCAGCCTCGCATCTGTAATCTCACATTTTTTTTCTTTGTTTCACTCTATTAAATTGTAGTGGAATGTGTCCAGCTGGCCCTCTGGACATTCCTGAAGGCAAGGATTAGTTTTGCTTTTCATCTTTGTATAGTCAGCAGTAGGAAACTGTAGCCCTTAGCTATGTGTTCATTAAAGGTCCAGTAAAACAGACACCACTTATGCATGGCCATAGTTTCTCCTTTAGTTCATATATATAAATAAAAATGGGCCGGGCGCGGCGGCTCACGCCTGTAATCCCAGCACTTTGGGAGGCCGAGGCGGGTGGATCATGAGGTCAGGAGATCGAGACCATCCTGGCTAACAAGGTGAAACCCCGTCTCTACTAAAAATACAAAAAATTAGCCGGGCGCGGTGGCGGGCGCCTGTAGTCCCAGCTACTCGGGAGGCTGAGGCAGGAGAATGGCGTGAACCCGGGAAGCGGAGCTTGCAGTGAGCCGAGATCGCGCCACTGCAGTCCGCAGTCCGGCCTGGGCGACAGAGCGAGACTCCGTCTCAAAAAATAAATAAATAAATAAATAAATAAAATAAAAATGAAAATATATATATATATGTAATTCAGGCATCAGGATTCTCCTTAGAAAATCTGCATGCCCAAACCAAAAAAGTTCTAAATCATGTTGAAAGGGCTTGGATACTATCTTCATCCATTGGGATGCTATAACAAAGTACCACAAACTGGGTGGCTTATAAACAACGGACATTTATTTCTCACGGTTCTGGAGATGGGAAGTCCGAGATCAAAACACCAGCCGATTCAGTGTCTGGTGAAGGCTTTCTTCCTCATAGGCTGTGCTGACTCACTCACTGTGTCCTCACACGGTGGAAGCGCAAAAGGGCTCCTTGCGGCCTCTTTTAGAAGGGCACTAATCCCATTCATGAAGGCAGAGCCCTTATGACCTAATTATCTCCCAAAGGCCCCACATCCTAATCCCATCACCTTGAGGGTTAAGGTTAAAACATATGAATTTGGGGGGATTCAAACATTCAGCCAGGGGGAGACAGTAGTATTTCCCAGTGATAGAAGATAGCATGTAATTGTAAGCAATAGTCTCTATCATAAATTCAACTTACACAGAATTTAAATGATGCCTTGATGCTCGTTAAAATGAAATCTGGAATCTTGGAAGTAATGACTCTGTAAATACCTCTGGGTCTCTTTGCTGATTCACAGCCACCTCCTTGGATTCGTATTTGGTATTCAATTTCACAAATATGTATTATGTGCCTACTGCATGCATGTTTCATTTGTTTTATATTCATGCAATGCCTCTACTGTGTGACATTCTCAAAAGACTTCAATACCTTAATGTGCTGGATAACCATTTTCTAAGAACAACTCTTTGTGAAGCTGGATCATATATGTATCTAATTTTTATCGTATATTTAGATTAAAATATTCAAATATTCAGCAACAAATACTTCAAAATCAGTATTTCATTCTTTTTCTCCTCTTCTGAAACAGAATCGCATTCTTTGAGAAAAAATACTAATAACAAATAAGTTTCCATGGCATTATTTTGATAATAGACTAAGAATAAACACAGAGAACAATGAATTAAAATTCCATGTTAGTACTGTTATATTTTTCCCATTAATATTCTAAGCCAATATTATAATTCTCCCAAGATATTCCTATTTGATGTCATTTTTTATTTCATGTATCCTTACTGTGATTATTTTGATGTGTAAGAGTATTACATTCCAGTTATGTGTGGTGTTACAGGCTGCATTTTTATACCATTTTTCCCTCACCCACTGATTGAAAGTATTTATACAGGGCATTCATTTTCTGAAATTAAAAATTAGCTTGGATTTTTCATTGACAAGCTGTATTTTAAATGATTTTGTATTGAAATATGTATTGGGTGGCATGTGTACATTTAAAACTATAAAGTCCTTTGACTGATTTTTTTTTAACAAACACTCAAGAATTCTTACATCTGACAATAGTCTTTTGAATATTCTCAGTGGGAGGAAGTCTTTGTCCTTTGAAAGCATATTTGAATTTTTTGAAACAGCCAAAAGTTATTCAATGTCAAATCTGTGAAATAATTTTGGTGATCACACTGGGCAATTTTATTTTTGAAAAAAAATGAGGTCGGACCATAAAGGTAAGTTTTCTTGTGTGAGTCATAAACTAATTCTGAAGGAAATCTCTCTGGAGAAGAGCTAGCGAAAGATCCATCACTGAAACAAGGTTTCCAGTGGGATGACCATGAAGTGAGGTGGCCAGGCTCTGAGAGACTGATGCCAAAACAGGGCCTGCCAGAAGCACATAGGAGAGATGCCTGATCCAGATGAGCATGAAGGCAGAGTCAGGGACAGCGTCTCTGATGAACCAACTCCTGAATTTATGACTGATGAATAGCATTCAGATAAATACCAAGGGTAAAAAAAAAAAGGGTCATTCCGGGAGGGGGGAACATTATGTACAAAGGCAGAGAGGCAAGAAGATATGTAAACTATCATTCTGGAAGGCTGGAGAGTAAGATTGGCAGGAGATGATGTTCAGGAAAGAAGCAAGGTCAAGGTAGAGTTGTGAATGTCATGGCCTGAAGTTCAACCCTTATCCTGAAAGCTGAGCTCATGTCTTGATTCTTTTTAAGTAGGCCCCTACCTCCACATGATCAAATTTACATGATGGAATGCTCACTCTGGCAGTCGTATAGAAGTGGAGTGGGTCCTGGCTAACACGGTGAAACCCCGTCTCTACTAAAAATACAAAAAAAAAATTAGCCGGGTGTGGTGGCGGGCGCCTGTAGTCCCAGCTACTCGGGAGGCTGAGGCAGGAGAATGGCGTGAACCCGGGAGGCGGAGCTTGCAGTGAGCCGAGATCGCGCCACTGCACTCCAGCCTGGGCGACAGAGCGAGACTCCGTCTCAAAAAAAAAAAAAAAAAAAAAAAAAAGAAGTGGAGTGGGTAGGGTAAGATCTGGGGAGGAAGAGGAATGCAGCCAGGGAAGATGGAAGTCAAACCTAGGTAGGGATAGCAGAAAGGGAGTAATTACAAAGATTTCAAAAAGGCAAAGTTAATAGACCTGGTGGCCTAGTGTGGGCAATAAGGATATGTAAAAGCAAGAACTACAAGACAGCGTGTAGCCTCTCGGCTTAGACTATGGGGTAGATGGTGTGGCTGTCACTGACTTAGAAAATATAGGATAGGAAAACACAACCCACATTCAGTTAGGATGTGCTGATGCAGTAGTGCCCGTGGGAGATGCATGTGGACTTACCACTAAGGCTGGTCAGTATTTGGTTGGGAGATCTGAGGAGCAATCTAACAGGACATAAAAATTTAGAGTCAACAGTGGACAGTGATGAGGCTACAGAGTGAATGTAATCCATGTATTCAAGGGTTTCTAAACTGAGATGAAAAAGAAGATCATGAAATACCTCTAGGAAGCCACAACTGTCAGGCTAGTGTGAAGAGATTCAAAGGACACATAGAAAGAATGGAAGGGTAGCAGAACTGGGGATCAGGGCATAATGGAATCCAAGGGAAATGGGTGTTTTAAGAAGAAGAAAGAGGTCACTGGTGTCAAAAGCCTAGACCAGTTCATGGCACATAGTAAGCACTCAATAAATACTGGCTGGGTGAAACTCCTAGGTGAAATTGCATGAAGACTTAAGAATATCCTCCAATGATGACAATTGCCAGAGTATATCCTGTGGAGTATATGGATAGAAACTCTATTGCAATGAAGTTTAGCAGTGAGTGGGAGGGTTGGAATTAGAGACATTGACTATAGACCACTCTTTCAAGGAAACATAATTTTAAAGGAAAAGAAAAGGAAGTCTGTAGCTAGAAGTATCATAAGGATCAGAGATTTGTTTCTTTGAGTAGTTGTGTCTAATATGTTTTTCTAATTTGAAAGTTAATAATTACTTCTAGTAGGAAACATGGAAAATACAGAAAAGCATAAACAATGAAATTAAAATTACTCATATTTTAATGTATATATATTTTATCTGTATAGTACATTTTAAAATGAAATTGTGATAATAGTGTGGATACAATCTGTCTCCTTTTTCAATCTTTATGTTTCATGATGATTAATTATCTTCTCTGCTCTTAAATATTCCTCAAAAGTATGATTTTTAATGGCTGCAGGTACTCAACAACACACTCTGGGGAAGTCACTGGGAAAAGCCATAGGTGAGTCTTGGTAAGCACAGGACTCATTGTGTGTAGGGGTCTAGAAGGACCACAATGGGCCAGGCTAGATGGACAGTGGAACCACTCTCAGGGAAGGAAGCTGCTCTATTTTTGGCTTCTGAGCTCACTATGGCCTACCTCCTCGCTCAGGACTTAATTACAGCACAACACTGACTCGATAAAATGTGTGTTCTACTAAGCCAGAAAACAGGAACATGGAGGGGACACCAGAAATGTCATCAGCAAATCGTCAAGATAAATAAAGTACTGGTCTAGATCAGAGTCAACCAGGCATTCTGTCCTTAATTTCAATGATTGTACAATGATGTTGGGTATGCTGGTGAAGTCAGCCCTCGGAATTGTCTCTTAAATCTCTGAAGCAATACAGACTGACTGTCTACTGCATCTCGTGTGACCCTGTCTTCTTAGAATCTCCATTCGTTATCTTCCTTTGATTCTTGATGGCTTTCTTCTGTGATGGCTTTTTTTATTTCTTGGAGTCCATTTCTTCATTTTCATGATTTTTCTTCCTCTTTTTGGTAGAGCACATTTCCCAGTAGCTTAATCAGAAAGGAACATGGAGGTAAATGTATTTCTGTTGGATATCTGAAAATACCTTTATTCTGCCCCCAGTTGATGGATCATTTAGCTGGGTATAGAACTCTAAGTTGGAAACACTTTTCCTTCAGGATATTGAAAGGTGTTGTTTTATTGTCACTAGTTTTCTGTGTTGTAGTTCAAAAGTTCTTCTGACTTTATGTATGACCAGTTTTTGTCTCTCTGAAGTATTGTTGAAATTTGGCTTATTTACAAGTTCTTAAGTTTCACAGTGATGTGCACCAGTAATGTTCTGTATTTATCTAGTGGGCAGAGAACTAAGTGGATTCTGGAAATTTTATTGAATTATTTTATTGATGGTTGTGGGAAGACAATTCTCAATGGATTTTTGATACTTCAGACCTGTAAAGTCTGGACATTCTGAGAAAAGAACATTTTTTATTAGCAAACTTTAGAAACTAGAGATAGTGTATCCCTCTGAAGAGACATCCTAAAGTGGTAAAGAAGAGCCATCTACTTTTTTCCCTGGAGGTATTTGTTTACATTTCAGGATAACGAGCAATCTCTTTCTTTCTGGAAGAGAGAATGAGCAGATGTGCCAGCAGGCCTATAAAAGCTCAGAGTCATGTAAAATGTGGGATGCTTCTCCACTGGTTCACCTTACTGCACATGCAGGTAAAATCCAGTTCCGTTCATGTTGCCCTGTGGCGTTTGATGCTTAGAGAACCCACAAAAGAACTTTTCCAACTGCTGGTTTTGTTGTGGGTAAGAAATGATTTGTTTTTCTGATTCAGGGATGTTGCATCTTCTGTCAACATATGTATTTAAATCTGTTGTAAGCATAACTCATTTGTCTTCAATTAGAGTAAAATCTCAAGTCTTCTGACTTAATAATGGCTATCTCTTGTCCATTTTCTCTTTTTTTTTTCTTTGCTGGTATCATACCTCCTGGACTAGTTCTCTAAGTATTCACCTATCTTCCAACTCAAATTATCTCAATTTTATTTTCTAATATACTATTGAGTTTTTCATTTCTGCCATCATATTTGTAATTTCCAAAAGCTCTTTGTTTTCTAAAGTAACTTATTTTTAATAACACCTTGCTTTTGTTTCATAAATAAAATATCTTTTTTATCTCTGTAAGATAATTCATATATTTTGAAGATTTCCTTTGCCCACACAGTGACTGACTTGGGGGGATTTTGTTTGTTAGTTTTGATCTCTGTCTTCTACACTAAAAGCTTTGTTAGACAATTGGTTGACTATTCATATTTAAAATTTGGAGACTAAAATACTAAATGAAAATTCTACTCATTTAAGGAAGGTATACTGACTTTGAACTTGTCTCTGGGGAAATCAGGCTGCCTTTTATTGCAATTTCATGTCAGATATTTTTGGTGTTTCTTTCCTGGCAGATCAGAATATACACAAAATTCTCTATTATTGTTCTGTCTGAGGGATAAAGGCCAGATTGCCACCTTTCAGGGAGTAAGGAAAGTGATGGGAAGGAAAGAGGTGTTCTCAGCATTCAATATATACCTATTTCTTTAATTCCAGTTTGGTGAAAGGTAACTGTACTCTCTACTGTGTTTGGGGTCCTCCCAGTCTGGAATTCCTGTATTTTACCCTCCAGAGAGTAAACCTCTAGACTCAGGCTATTGTGCAGGACAAATCAAGGCTGCTTCACTGCTTTCCCAATGTTTAGCTTAGCGTTCAGCATCCCTGGGCCTACAAAATACATTACTGCCCATCTTTTGCTTTTTAGCCTCCAAAATTCTGTGGTATTCTCTCTTTTCTCACTCTTCCTATCCTTGTGAGTATTTTTACTGATGTTTACTGGACATCAGGAAAGAAAAGTATTGAAAATACACATGCAAATTGCCATCTTTCCCTGCAACGTGGTTTATGTCTTTATATGAATTTTACATACATTGTTACACCATTTAAAACTGCAAAATAAGGATCTGACATTCACATTCTTTTTCTTTCTTTTTTTTTTTTTTTTCTGAAATCGCCAGCTTTCTTGTTTGTTTGTTTTTTTTAGACGGAGTCTCACTCTGTCACCCAGGCTGGAGTGCAGTAGTGCAAGCTCCACCTCCTGGGTTCACACCATTCTCCTGCCTAAGTCTCCTGAGTAGCTGGGACTACAGGTGCCCACCACCACACCCAGCTATTTTTTTGTATTTTTTTTTAGTAGAGACGGAGTTTCACTGTGTTAGCCAGGATGGTCTCGATTTCCTGACCTCGTAATCCACCCATCTCGGCCTCTCAAAATGCAGGGATTACAGGCGTGAACCACCGCACCCAGCCTTTCAAACCATTTTTTAATGATTTATTCTTTGTCCCTTGGTTTGTGATGGCTTGTGATTACTAAAGGCTAAGATGTAGTTCAAGACTATCTATTGTGTTCATTCATCAAATCGTTCAATCCTAATACCAGTACGATAGTATTTTAGTAACGACACTTTAGGGAAAAGCTTAATATCTTGAATGCCAAGACTCAAGACATGGATTTCAAATATCTTTGCCTGCCGTTCAAACAAATGTATATACTCAAAAGTGTTTCAAATGCTAACAGGAAAGAAGGAAAGAAATATAAGTTAATGATAGAATGAGAGAGAATTTGATTTTTTTCAAAAGATCTACTCATTAGAAAATACAAATATTCAAATTACATATTATTAAAATATAAATATATTTTATGAAATTAGCAAATTTTATTTAAAAATTACAGAATACAAAGATTATTTCAAAATATAAATTTATTCATTCAAAAATAAAACGCACATAATTTTTAACCACCTACTATATGCTAAATGAGGTCCCTGGGGAGTCAAAATGAGTAGAAGAACACCAATTTTCTTTCCTACCATGTAGAAATGTCAGAGGGCTTTATGTGTAATGAGTGTCTGCTGTTCCAGGCCTGTAATGGGTATTTTGCATGCAATTTCACATATACGCTTTATACTAACACTCTATGTAGGTGTTATCATCCCAATCTTCAAGGATATGGGAACAGAGGCTCAGAAAGGTTAAGTAACTTGCATAAATTCACTCAGCTATGAAATATTGCTTCTGAATGTCAAACTCACTTTCTTCCAGTCCCACAAGTATAAGAAATAAATTTATTGGAGGAAAAAAACTAACTGTTTTTCCTCTGTTCTCACACCACAGCAATCAACACAGAATACTTCTGTGACCAAATCTGTAGGGGTTTCTCCCCACCAGCAAGCAAGCAATCAATTCTGCAGCAGTCTCAAGCTGGGTGTCCTGTAATTCAGTTCAATTCTGCCACCATCTACCTTGCGATAGTCAGATCCCACAGGTTGAGGGCTCAGTCCCAAAGATCACCCCCCACTTCCAAATTTCTGATGACAACAGCAAGCCCCAGGTTGTTCTACCTGCACTTCTGACCAACCGGCTAAAATTGCATTTCCCAGACACTCCCTCTGGCTTCAATTAATTTGCTAGAGCAGCTCACAGCACTCAGGGAAACACTTACTTACATGTACTGGTTTATTCTAAAGGATATTACAAAGGATGCAGATGGAGAGATGCATACAGAAGGGAGAGGTATGCGGGGAGGGACGTCACCCTCCAGGAACCTTCGTGTGTTCAGCTATCCAGAAGTTCTCCAACTCCATGCCTCTTGGGTTTTTATGGAAGCTTCATTACATAGGCAAGATTGATTAAACCATTGGCCATTGGTGATCAACTTAATGTTCAACCCCTCTACCTTCCCCAGAGGTTGGGTGACCTGGGATTAAAAGTTCCAACCCTTTGAGCAAATGGCTGCTTCCCCTGGCACCCAGCCCCCACCGCCATCTTGTGGTATCTAAGAGTTTTCCAAAAATCACCTCATTAACATAGGCTCAGGTGTGCTTGAAAGAGCTTGTTGTAAATAACAGAAGCTGTCTATCACTTTTATTGCTTAGGAACTACTTCAGGAACCAAGGATAAAAGACCAAATACTTTAACAAAAGATATTCTCTAGTCACTTAGGGAATACAAGGGTCCCAGGAGCTGAGAGCCAGGAATCATGGACAAAACCCAAAATATATACATTATAATATCACAGCTTGAGAAAAAATAATTAGATGATTTTATAATGTAATACTATCTCATTCACATAATCTGTTGAAGAGCATACATTTCTTTACCCTTAGAGAAAGCTGGCGTTTAGAATATTAGGGCAAGATAATATTTACTATATTTTATTATTTGTCAGATTTACTACAATACTTTCAAATATGAGCATTTGAGAATCGAGAACATAAAATCCATAAATGCATTATTAAGCCTCCTTGAGACTTCTCTTTCTGGTTCCCAAGCTTTTAAGTATTAAGGATACGTTTTTTAAATTATATATATCTCCATGTTCTAATTAAGCTGGAGTTCAGCTAATAAGGATCAACTGACTCTCCGATTTGACAGCTAGTCCTAATGTTACTTTCAGAAGCAATCGCAAGTCTACTATGCCTTAATTTGGTGGGTAACACATGATTCAATCTTATAAATCCTAGTAAATAAGATAGCCACTGAGTAAATATCAGACATGATTTTTTAAATTGCTTATAGATTTTCCCACTGAAATCAGATCAGTCTGATCTTTTTGTGATAAACAACATAATGTTTCTAGAGTCTGTAATAGACTCATGTTCTTGCCTTTTAAAACTTTTATCAAAAAACAGTTGAAAAGATGGTGGTGTTCAATTTAATGAAAACGATTATTTCTACCTGATATTAATATCATCTAGGTGTGTCTCAGTCGAATGGCCAAATCATTAATAGTAGTAGTAGCAGTTACGGGAAAGGGGTCCCTATCCAGACCCAAAAAGAGGGTTCTAGGATCTCGCACAAGAAAGAATTTGGGGCCAGTCCATAAAGTGAAAGCGGTTAAGAAAGTAAAACAGTAAACAATGGCTACTCCGCAGGCAGAGCAGCAACATGGGCTGCTTGACTGAATATACTTACAGTTATTTCTTGATTATATGCTAAACAAGGAGTGAATTATTCATGAGTTTTCTGGGAAAGGGATGGAGATTCCCTGGAACTGAGGGTCCCTCCCCTTTTTAGACCATATAGGATAACTTCCTGATGTTGCCATGGCATTTATAAACTGTCGTGGTGCTGGTGGGCATGGCTTTTAGCATGCTAATGCATTGTAATTAGCATGTAATGAGCAGTGAGGAGGACCAGAGGTCACTTTCATCACCATCTTGGCTTGTGAAGGTTTTGGCCAGCTTCTTTACTGCAAGCTGTTTTCTCAACCAAGTCTTTGTGACCTGTATCTTGTGCCGACCTCCTATCTCACCCTGTGACTAAGAATGCCTAACCTCCTGGGAATGCAGCCCAGCAGGTCTCAGCTTTCTTTTACCCAGCCCCTTTTCAAGATGGAGTCGCTCTGGTTCAAACACCTCTGACAGTAGTAGTTTATATGGCTTCTAGATGAGTGTGAAATTTTTTTTTTACATTTAAGATACATTATTATGTTGTTTCCTTAAGCTTAGTAAGAACTGTTTTATTATTTAACAAATGAGAAGTTATTCATTCAGTATAACAATCAATTTATGTTGCTCTAAGTACATGCAAAACACTGTGAACACTACAAAATAAACCAGACATAGAGGAAGCTTACATTTTAATAGAGGGAAGTGAAGAAAATACATATGTAATTATTAATAAATGCTGTGATGTCCCATGCACAGATATAATTCTGTACATAATTCTGTGTGATTCATTTTGCATTTAAAAAAATATGAGAAGTTATTTCTCGCTGAAAAAGTCAAAATATTATTTCTGGAAGAGGTGGTGATATTTGATCTGGGCCTCGAAAGACACTTAGGGTTCATTGAAGCTATGTGGACAATGGAAGGGGAATGACATGACTGTCGTTGCTCTAAACGTGCTTGCCAGGATGACTGTGGAAGCAAATGCCATGATGGCTGCTCCTCCCTCCTCCAAGCCTTCCTGTGAGGAGCAAATCAAAGAATGTAGCAGAAGCCCGGGTCACAGGAACTAATGAGAGCTCATGATGCTTTCTTTAGAGGAACCGGAAAGGCAGCCAGGTTGTTTTTATTTGTTTTACAAATTAAATTTCAGATGCAACTTTTGTGGCTCTATCATTAACAGATGTATTTGAGTAAAGGCTCAGTTAAATTACAATGAAAACCCCAAATTTGGTATGTTAAACATAGGACGTAAGCCTCTTTCACGTGACAGAGCAGCTGGTCTAGGCTGCCAGGGTGGCTCTTCTCCACTGGGTTATTCAGGGAACCAAGTGCTTTGGTCTTGTTGCCCTGCCGGCCCACGAGGGCATTATTGTCATTGTCTTTGTCGGAGCCAGCTCACTGCTATGTACATTTTCCAGCCAATGGTGACAGGAGACATGGCCAAGTCCAAGGACAGATGACTGTTCACATTCCATTAGACCGAATTTAAATACCTGGCCACACGATGTCTGAGAGAAGCTGGAAAATTATTTTCTAGCTACACAATGTTGTCCAAAAGACCATCAGGATGGATAAATAGAAAGGAGAGCTTTATTGGGGATATCAGTTTGCAAGCCAGGAAGAGACAGTCTCTCGCGCGGACCAAAGGTGCTCTCTCTTCAAAGCGGGGCAGGAGAGGTTGGGTTTTATGCCTCGCAGGGCTCGTATCACACAATAGTCATACACATTCAGCAGGTTTCGGGGGAAAGCTATACACGCGTTTGAGGGGAGTCAAGTGCATGTAATGAGTAAACATAAATATAACATATAGCCCATGTGCACTTTGGGGCAGGGTTTTCGCATTAAAATGAGATGGCACTTGGCTCTTTTCCACAAAAGGTGGACTGTAAGCCACAAAGCCCTTTGGTGCACAGTCTCTAGAAGGTGGCTGAAAGAATCATCCAGAAGGAACGCTTGCAATGCATGTCCTTTCCACAATTAGAGTTGCAGAGGTCTGAGTTGTAAATCCGAGCCGATGGCTCCTATTGTTAGGGAGTTTAGTCGTAGGAGTTTAGAGTTTACCCTGCCAGCTGGCCTCCAACCTGTAGGTAACTTTGTTCCCGTAACTTTGGGGTCTAACTTCGTGGATAAAGGGGTGTCTATTTTGGTCTCTTAGATCACAGCAGCCATGTTTCCCAGGAAGAAGGGGAGACAGATGTGGAGGAAGTGGGGGAAAACCCACAGTGCAGTGCGACCAGATAGACTTTTGTTGTTCTGTTTTGATTTATAATTTCTCAGGATTGATAGAAAATTCACTGTTTAGAGGGGTTTTATGCTTTTATAATTTAATATGATCTAAATCTTATAAGCAACACAGAAAGTCACATACTACATTTTTAACGAGTTTCTAGTATGACTTCTCCATGTGGCTAATGCAGCTCCAAAAATTAAGCTGTAAAATTGAAGCTATGCAGCCACCAAAGTAAAAATGCGACTCATGCTGTTTATATGTTTCACAAGATAAGATCGGCAATTCTCGTATTTATTTGACTGTTCCTTAACAACAGTTTTCAGTATGGAAAACGAGCATTTCTGAAGATAATGTAAAGATTATAAGAATCCTGTTCCACATTATGAATTGTAGACCACCCAGCTAAAGCATGAATTTGATATGCATTATGATTATCTAAATCATGTCTGTGCAAGAGATGTATGTCAGAACCACAACTTACAGCTTGTTAATTCTTTACTCAGATTATGTCCACTTCGTAATAGGGGCAAAAAAGAATATCATATGAGATACATTTTTTTAAAAAAGAGGACAGGTAATACTTTTAAAGTTCTGCATAACTGTATTAAATAGGTAAATGTGCTATTTTTTAGGAATTCCTGCTAAATTTTAATACTAATGAAGATTCCTTTTAAGGGATGAGTAAAATTTTTAATGCATGAGTATATTTTATAAACTTCAGCTAAATTCAACAAGTTTTTCTTTTGTTTTGTTTTTCTGAGACAGGGTCTCACTTTGTCACCCGGGCTGGAGTGCAGTGGTGATCCCAGCTCACTACAACCTCGACCTCTCAGGTTCAAGCAATCCTCCTTCCTCAGCCTCCCGAGTAGCTGGGATTATAGGCATTTGCCACCACACCCAGCTAGTTTTTTATATTTTTTGTAGATGTAGGGTTTCACCATGTTGCCCAGGCTGGTCTCAAACTTCTGAGCTCAAGCGATCCACCTGCCTCAGCCTCCCAATCAACAAGTATTTATTAAATGCCTACTCTGTTCAAGACAATGTGTGTCTTATTTTAAATTAAATGTGTTGAATTAGTATGGCTTTTGTCACGTGGACTTTTTGTCCCCCAAAGGTGACTGATTAAAAGGAACAACTGTTGTCTTTGCTCAGCATACACATAGAAAAGAAAATAAAGTCAAGTCACCATGGTCCACTGTACTATATATTAACAAAGCAGTTAAGAGACAAATGAACATTTTTACGAATAAATTTTACATGGAAAATGATTGTCCTAAAAGTCCTACCTCCCTGGGCACCAGAGTGAGTTCTATAACTGAAGGGACCATAAGATGAATGGGACATGGCCAGGCTGTATTTTATTTAAATATCAATCTCAAACTTACATAAAATCCTCAAATGCAAAAGGAATCTAAAACTAAATGGGAAAGGAAACAGAATATGAGTCCAAGAAAAAAGTTATCTTGCATATAATTTGCTTATGAGGCGATTTTCCCCAATTCAGTGTTCCAATTTGCTTTCATTACAATCTGAAGGAAACCCAACAGCAGTCATGGGTGATTGGCTGAGAAATGACTGGATGGGTGATGGGAGAAGGAGCTAGAAGGATAGATGCATGGTAGAAAAGAGGTACATCAACTGACCTTGGCAAGAAATGACTGTAGAACTCAGAAATGACTCCAGGAGGAACAGCCCACCAAAACAGTTTCACCCACTTCAATACATTCTAGAAACATCCCTCTACTAACTTGACTCAGGTTATTTTAATTTCATTTCCTATGTCAGTTTCTTAATGTACAGAAATGTGCAATGCCATCATTTTTTAAAAATTCCAAACAAAAAAGGTAGAATAAAAACGTAATGATTATCTTAAAGGCCTAAGCAGCCATTATAATGAAAAAGGATACCTTTTTCATAAATCAGGTAGGGCCGTAGTTACACAGTTATTATATTTATATAGTTATCAATTGTGTTTCCGGTAAAAAGAACTTTCCATTTCAGATTTGCATAACGTTTGCATTTGCACTGTTAATATGTCAGTTAGTTCCAATTAATAGAAAATTGGATAGCAAACCAAGAAAAGAAGGGCAAAAATAATTGAAGGACTCTCTCTTCGATTATTTTTCAGAGTGACACAGCTTGCGTTTTGAGGTGGGATGAGTAGGGGGGCGGGGGATGAGTGGAGTGATTAATTGGCTCAAATATAAAATAGAACACATGGAGCATTTTAAGAACCACTAAATTACTTTCAAACCATTTGCAGACTATTGTATAGACGTTAATTTATTTCCAGGAGATAATTTTGGTATATTCGAAGAATTAAAAAGTCAGCAAAGACCCGTTGTTGCTTTATCCATTATTTATTGAGAAGGAAAAGAAGGAGGAGAATGGACACAAATTAGAATCGCCTAACTGTACTGAGAGTACTCTAAAGTGTTGTGATTTTATATGGCCTGAAAATGCAGATGAAGGTTGGGAGTTGCGTTTTTGTCTTTGGACCTCTGGAATTAAAGTCATTATATAAGCAATTTATTCAAGTTGCTATCCTGGGATGAAAGTAGAACCTTATTTTTCTTTGACTTCTGAAGACAGATAAATGAAGAAAGGTACATAGATGTAAATAGATATAAACATACATTAAGTCCAATCTTCTGACATCTATTTATGTTTAAAAGTGGTCTTAAAATGTAGTTATTTTCCAAAATCTTCTCTCTTATTGATTCAGGCTATGTTTCTGAAAGACTTGGAAAGTTTGTATATCTTTATAATCTCAGCTGTTGCTTATTGCTAGAAACTAATGTCATTTTTCTGTGATCAGTTTTATAAGAAAGGAGTGACTGAAATCACCAGATTCTCAAGAGAAGTTGTCATGCATCCTCTTACACTCTCCTCGTTTTTGCCTTAGATAACGCTTGAGCATACTGAGATCTGTGGGTCCATATCAAGACTGTCTCCAGATGTCCATTTCATCTGGTGGGCATCACTTGTTTGAATGATGCTACCAGCTTTGGACTAGTCTGTAGAAGGCAGAAAAAGACTGAGTATCCAAGTATCTCATGGGGCTTATGGTTGGGGAAAGGAGAGGCTCCAGATCTGAATCAAGAAAGTTGTATCTTCCTGTTTCAGGTACTTAGAGTCCCCGGAAGAGGGACGCAGTTGAGTATCTGCTTCCCATTCTTTGTTTTTCAGGACCACTTGGATTGTACTTGAATAATTATTAAGACTTCTTACCAAGGAATTCTGACATTATGCGTTTAAAAATGCAAAATCCATTAAACACTAATATGCTGTGACTCAAATCTTTGAAAGAAAAAGTTCTTTGTTTGCGGTTTGGAACCTGCCGTTCTATTTTATTATTGTAGAAGTTCCCAGCAGGCATATTCATCCAGATTTAATTATTAAGCCATAAACGTATCTTTGAAAATTTCCTTTTATACTGAATGCCTAGAAGTGATTTAGAATTGCTTTTTCAATCATCTTATGTGGCAAATCAGACTTCAACACCAAGTATGTTTACGAATGTTTTTGGAAAGTGAACATCACTGAATTGATAATATTTCAGGATGCCATGGCAAATAAAAGAGGTAAATGTGAAGACTGAATAGGTAAAAATGCTTTGAGGTCTTAGGTAACACCTATATATATATCTACTAAAATAGAAGCTTAATGAGGGCAGGGTCCTCATCTGTTTTGCTCATTTTTTTTTTAATCCCCAGAACACAGCATAGCGCTCACCACTTGTTTGGGAGTTCAATAAAAATTAATTGAATAAATACGTGTGTGAATGAATCAATCAAGCCTCATTTTCACCCCCTACATCACCAACACATACATACGTTTCTTAGTACTAACAATGGAGGAAGTTGAAGATTTTTGGGTTTGGCATTAAACATATATATGCATATATACACACACATATATGTATATATGACCAAATTTGTTGTTTAGGCAATGTTGAGTGCAGAAGACCAATTTTCAAAGAGATTCATATTTTACATGTAAGTACAACTGGCTAAATATGATCAAGATTTTCCAAAGCACAGGAAAAAAGGATCAATATTTTCCAAAGCACAGAAAAAGAATTCTCTGCTATTTTATTCCTTGCTTCAAATTGTTGAGAATATGAGAATAAGAGATACAAGCCTTAGCTGTACCTTAACTCTTGGTAAGGAGTGAAAATGAACACAGAATAACCAAAACCTCTCTTTAAAATCTCCTGTGCATAGGTTCTATGGGAATGTCAAAGAAATGGCTTGATAGAAGCAAAGCTTTTCAAATGTCATGACATTAACAAGATTATTTGGAAATATGGAATACTTGTTGAATATTAAAAAGTTAAACACTCTCAATGTTCTTTAAAAGAAAATCATTTAAACTTGTTAATAAAGAAGCAATTAACAAGTATGAATGAGGTGTGCTCATATGCCCACATACAGAATTTACAAGGAAATGCAAAGAACTGGGTATGTAAAAAATATATATTATTTTTAAAATAAATATAGATTTATTCTACTATTTTTCATCACTGTGGCTTTACCTCTACAGTTACACTAACTGCCATTTTTTTATTATAAGCAGTTATTTTCATTCAAAAATTACATTAGAACATGTCCTTAATAGAGTACTTTAATTATGTTCCCCCATTGTTTTTAAACTTGTAAAAGAGTTACAAGAAAATAATGTGGTACTTGTAGCATCCCATAGAAACAAATATTAGTTGACAATATTTACATAACCTAATGCCCATACAATTTGATGCTTGTTTTCCCTCCAATAATTTAGATGTCAAGAAAGTCACTACAAATTAATCATTTTTCCTCAGTCAGAATTGGGAAAAGTTTTAAAATATATAAACTTACTGTAATGCTGCATCAATATTGGACTAAATCATCACTTATTTAATATTCTGTCTTATAAACATATCAAAGCAGAAAACCTTTAGACATATATACAATAAGATATCTCAGCATTAAAACTAAATAATAAAATGTCAATGATGAAAGACTGACAACCCACCCAGACATCTCTCTTATATGGCCTGGGACAAACTCTATCTAAATAAATAGATTTTACACAGCACTAACCCATTCCTGTTCTGCAAACCCACACATTCTAGTAGACACTAGAGCAAGACTTGATTTGTCTTTCCTTAGTGCTACTAGATCGAATTAGTATCTGTACAGTTTGCTGTATGGGTTCTCACTAATAGAAATAAAAATGTCTCTGATAACAAATTTCACAATTGCCAACTAAATTATAAAACCTCAAAGTTGGTATTTTTGTCATTTAAAGACTTCCAGGAGTCCCAGTTTCTGCTATAAATGCTACGTGTGATTTTGAACCCAAAGTTCTAATTTAATGTCTATCTTTTTTTCTTATAACATATTCTAATAAGAAATTTTGGCCGGGCATGGTGGCTCAAGCCTGTAATCCCAGCACTTTGGGAGGCCAAAGCGGGCAGATGACCTGAGGTCAGGAGTTCAAGACCAGCCTGGCCAACATGGTGAAACCCTGTATCTACTAAAAATACATAAATTAGCCGGGCGTGGTGGCACGTGCCTGTAGTCCCAGCTACTTGGGAGGCTGAGGCAGGAGAACTGCTTGTACCTGGGAAGCAGAGATTGCAGTAAGGCGAGACGGCGCCATTGCACTCCAGCCTGGGCGACAATAGCAAAACTCCATCTCAGAAAAGAAAAAAGAAAATATAAATTTCTATTCTTTCTGATCAAATTATGCAAAAAGAGTAGAGGTTGTCACACAATAATAAACCTGCTCTTTCACATGTAATTGCCAATGATAAGACAACAGAACTAGACCATTTTATCCAGAGCTTCGTTATAGCTTGCCTTTGGATATAAGTCCCACGAGTATAGAAAACATGGCAAATTAATATATACTAACGTGGCTGAGTTCTCTGAATGAGTTAGCTAACTGTTCAAAAAATTTTCCTGGTTCACCCAGGAAAAACTATTCTGTGAGTAGATACAATCTGTTTGTTTTCCAGGGCCACATAGCTTTATGTGAGCGTATACACCCAAATACCATTAAAACCCAATAATCCTGGCCTCAACTAGGTTATTTTTAAATCACGAACAAATTAAAATTTGAATTGGAGCCGACTGAGCCTCCCTGATTCCCTGTGGGGACTCACTGTTTCATAACCCCCCAGTTCACCAAATGGATACATAAAACAGCCCCTGCCATGTTGACAGGAACTAGTGGAGGCCCACTGAAATCTTAGGGGAAGAGGCGATGCACGTGCTTTCTTGTCCTGAAGCCGCCATCTTGGCTGCTAGGAGGAGAAGCCAGGAGAAACACGTGGCCCATAACACAATCACTTCCTGGGGTGGTGAGAGTCTTGGACCAAGTCGAGTATCTAATAGAGTCTCAGACCACAAGAATCTTTGAAAAACGATGTGAATTTTCTGAAACAAGGGCTGGGGAGGTGAAGTCAGGTCTTCCATCAGCTACCGGTAGTTCTTCAAATACAGACCAAGTTCTCTTCCATGGAACACCATGGCACCATTGCAACCAATTTCAGAACAAATCCCAAAGTCTAGTACAGATATATTGTTCCACTTACAATTTAACCCGAACTTCCACTTTAGCGAACTTTGAAAGGTCCCATCCAGTTGAGAAGATTTCATGTAGAAAAACAAAAAAGTTCTCATTCAGGAAAATGCTTACTTTTACCCCAAATCCTAATGTTAGGTTCCTATGAAGCTACACATTTAAGCAATAAGAAAATTCATACTTTTGGCTAAAAGTACAAAAGTGTGCTGCCTGTTCTGAAGCCTTTTCCTCCTGTCATGCTCTTAAGAAACAAGGCTCATAGGAACTGACAAGGAATGTATAATAGAGTGGCCCTGGTCAATGTCGCTGGAAGATGTCTTCAGATCACAAGACCATATGTAACTTCTTCAGGGGGAAAAAAACGCTGACAGCACATGAAGAGGCACATCATGAGGTTTTTCTCCTTTAAAAATAACTGCATTCAGTGTCTGTTAATTTTAACATGTTCTGTCCTCAGTCTATCATAAAGATAATTTAAGGATTCCTTGGAAAACAGATTCCTGAGGTAAATAACTTGCACATAACCACAAGACATGACGCTGTATATATTAATATTACCATTTAGACATCCTGGAGTATGATATGCCCAAGCGGTCATCTGACTTTGGGATATGCCCTAGCTTAAATGCAAATAAAAATTTTGCACTGAAAGACACAGTAATGGTACTCAAATGCAGGATGTGGTATTACATAAATTTATCAGGCACACGAGATTGGTGTAACCAGCACAATTGCCAACTCGTATCTGGGGAGTACTACTCTATGTATTGTGCAATAAACATTATACAGCACAATAAATGAGGAAAAATAGCTGGAAAAATATGTGAAGGGAAAGAGCTGAGAAAGGATTATAAAATATCTTTATGAACATTAACATAAATGATGGGTTGCAATTTTCCAGCTTTATTCTTCTGACAAGTTGTCCATACAGTAATGTTTTCATCGTACACTATCATTTAGAAACATACTGCACGAGCTATATACCTGTAAAATCTATAGTTTCTTTTGTAAGGTTTGTGGCTGTTATTCAGTACATGTCAAGTATGCTAGTTAGGTGGTAAATTTACAGTGTATACAGTAACTGGATTTCCTAAACATCCTCCCTTAGAAAAAATAAAATGAAATATAACACCAATGAGAAACAGTGGAACACACGTTCTGTTCTTTTGAGCCAGAGCTTTCCTTGCTTTCTGAATCATCTGTCCATTGTACTGGTCCTGTTTGTTAGCAACCCCCTTACTCTTATGAAGTCCTTTATTTTGTGCTTGTTGTTTTTGGGTTTATATGTCCCCATCGTCTATAACCTTTCTGAAAGCAGAAATGTTGTACCTCTGCTTTTTCCAATGCTGATGTTTTAGAATGTTTAGGTTTGGTAATTTCTTCACTATTTCTAAGATGTAGTGTTTTGATTGTTCGTAGCATTTCCTTTTGTTTTCTCTCGAGTCCCTGTATTTTTAGATTAGTTTTCCTATTTGCTTTTTTTCTGGCTATTGACAAACACTTGTTTTCGTTCTCCCAAGCATGCATTCTGAACCCCCCTCCTAAATTATGGAGGGGGAGGGGTTAATAGCTATGAGTAGATATATTTCCCTTGTAGAATCTGAACTAGCTTTTAAAATGTGTTTTCCCTCCCTTAATTTATAAATATTTTAATCAATAATGTATCTATTATTTCCCAAGCGAACCCTAAGGAGTATGTTTGATGGCCTCACACAAGCTATTCCAGGAGAACAGCCTCTCTCAAGCAGCTGACACCAGTGAGCCTAGCTAGTTTTTACCTCTCTCGAGTCCCTATATTTTTAGGTTAGCTGGCAAGGGCACACTCACTCCGTCACTGAACCCATGAAATTAATGTGTTGTGCAAGTTCCCTCACTCCCTTTTGCTGAACTTGCATTGTATTGCCCACTGCATATTCAGTCAGAAGCTAGCCTGGAACAAAACGCCAGCCATCAGAGAAAACTCCTGTCTGTCCTTGACGTTGTAATTGCATTCAATCAGCATCAGCTCTGCATCAATAATTAGACAGGGGTCCAATAATGATGTTGGCAATGAAACAACATAGTCAAAATTTCAGCGATTTCATAAAGTGATTGTCCAAATGTCGAAACCAATGTTTAAGAATGAAGCTCCCCCACTTACTCATAATGTCACAGATGACTGAGAACTGGTGCCCCTTGTATTGTCTGGAAGAGACCCTTCGAACTGTTGCCTCTCGTACCAACTAAAGAACTATACTTGCTTTCATATATGACATACTTGCTTTTAAAAATCTAATTAAAACTTTCTTTTTGGTCCTTAGGTAGAAAAATGGCTCTGCTGAGATGAGCTCTTAATTAATGCACTGAGAGCCTGCAAGTCCCACCTCTCAACAGGAATGATTGACGTCCAAGGATACATAAATTACACTAACTGAGCTCTGCCTCTATATAAGCTTTCCACATCCAACTCATCAGAGAAGCTAGGTGAGTAGACCAGCATCAAAAGCTACCTCAGTATGGTCTATGCTTTCCCAAGGGGTGGAAGAACTTTGCAGACCGTCGTACATTTATTATCACAGAAGACAGTTCTTTGCTTCAGTTTTAAGATGTCGGTTTTCTTGTTGTAGGTTTTTTTAATTATAAAAATTAGCATTTTTAACATAGCCATTGAAATTTAAATAATCGCATTCTCTTCACAATTTTCAAGCAGCAAAAGTTGCAAGCCAATTACAGTACGCAAAAATCACTTGGCATCATCTGTTGATATTAAATTGTGTTGCGTAGCAACCGGCGCACATGCTATGGAAGGATTGTTTGAAATCAAATCCAATTTTAGTCCCTGAATTTAGTTTTCAGAAATTTACCTAACTGTAAACACACCTAATCCCCAGCCTCAACCAAAGCACATACCGAAATGTTTCTTTTATGTTTATTTCATCCTGAATGAAATCCACAGGTATTCTAAACCTCTTACTTCCATGAAATTTAATAAACCACTTGGCATGATCTAGGTGGTTTAGTAGCCTGAAATAAAATTTATGGACAGAACCGTTTGCTAAAAATGAACAAAATTATACTATATTAGATTTCTCTATTTATGTCTTGAAGTTAATGACAGATATTTTTGATATCTTAACAATTATGAAAAATTCAGTTTTGATTATTTTTTAGAAAAATAGGAATGATATGAGAATTTCAGAATATTAACTTTATTTAACATGTTTCACTATGAATATATATGTGTTATTCAGACAAAATATAAATGGGACTTGAGTCTTACTACATATATTTTTAAAGGAGAGCAAGGGAATGGAGACCACAAAGAGCTGTAGTTTAAGAAAGTATTAAGTGATAGTTTAATACTTTAACAAGAAAGATAAGTGATACAACAAAATGAACAGAAGTAGAAAAAGCAAATGGTGAAAACCAAAGGAAAAAATACCAAACAATAGAGATCACTGCAATCAATCTTGAAAATGATAAAAATTACCAAACCTACACATTCCAAAAAATCAGCACTGGAAAAAAAAAAAGTCAAGAAAAAGGTGGTAGAAGGAAACAAATTTAGTTTCAGAAAATATCTAGGGGGGACCACCATGAACTAGTAACAAAAATGAAAGAGAATTCAGACTGGATTCCTGAAACATTCGGGAGAACATGTTGCTTCCACACATTGCCCTCTTTCCACTCGGCTGTACTTTGCTGTACCTACTGTTTCAAATTGGGAAAAATACAGAGCCCCACTTAAAAAGAAAACCGTAAGATGGCTACATTTCTATCAAAATAGCTTTATTATTACCTGTGAGAAAAGCTGAAGTGGAGAAAAATTGAGAGATATCAGAAAATCCTGAGCTGATGATCTCGTAAAAAAATATAAAATGCTTTTAGCATCAAGGCTGTCTTTCTATGACTGAAATGGAATAAAAATGGGACAGCTTCTTGACTGTAAGATCTTTTTGTAATTTGGTGAAGCCCAGCGTCCAATACAATGTAACAAGGCCACTGAAATATCAATAATAACATTTCTGTTTTAAAAAGTTATTTAGGTGCATTGAGAATGAAATATATACCTCAACAAGCCATGGTGTTTATTTTTATTTCTGTAATTGTGTGTTCATACCACATTCATTCATCATAGATACTATGCTAAGTAAGGCCTGGTACTTGAAGTGGTTTTCTATGAAATTATGCTTGAGATGACCTAAATCTATTAGTAGCTCTTGAGAATTTGTATATTTAATAATCATGAAAAGGCAGTATCACTGTGTGCTTCATTAGTCTCATATCTGTAGAAATATTTATTAGTTAAAAAAAGGAGCCATATGTTCATAATATTGGCAGATAATTCTACTGGAGTTCACATATTTTTAATGCAGTTAACTGAAAACTCAGCATGCTTTAACAATACTGCCTTGTCAATACCTTTGGATGTAAGTTGGTAAAATGTGCCTGAATTATTACTAACTTTTTTCTTTGTACGTGTTGGATGATCAGAGTGCTGGTGCCTGACAGAGGCCATCATTCATTACGAAATGGGGCCTAGTCAGCACTAGGATGAGCGAGGGCCACCCTGTCACGGGTGGAACCATTAATATAATAGCCTATCACTCAAACTAATAAAACCAGCTCAGTCTATTCTGTTTCTGAACATGGACTACCAGATCCAAGTTTTCCATTGCTACATTACATCACAACCGTATTATTATTAGTTGATACGTGAATGAACATAGCAGGAGAAATGGTTTTCACCCTCTAGCTACACATAATATCATCAAACCTCAGTAAACTCTTCTCTGCACTTCAAATCAGAACACTTATTACTTATCGCTTGTGTCATTTGTTAGGCATCTTATACTATTTCTTCGTTTAAAATTGACATAGTTCTTCAGATGTTGGGCTATTCAGTGAGCTCGGCAATTCCTTACTCCACTACTGTTTGACCTTGCTTGTAACTTTAACAGCAATTTTTAAAACATGTAGATTTATTTAAAACATTTTTTACCTTTAAAAAAAACAGAAATATATAGAAAAAAAGTAACAGATATCCTATCATTTTGCTGCCAATATAATTTGTGTTGTTATAATTCTGACTTCTGAAAAGTAACAATATACATGGTTAGAAAAAAAATACAGAAATTTACCAAATTCTCTCTCGTCTAAAATAATTACTAGTTATACTTTCTTAAAATTTCTTTCATAGAAGTGCATACTTAAAAAATATCTATATATCATTTATTCATTAACTCAACAAATGTTTAGTCAGGGCTTTTTATGTACCAGGAACTATTTCTGGTGCTAGGATTGTAATATTAAGCAAAACGAATTTTTTAAAAAAGACTTTCTGGTTCTCATGGGGCTTATATTCTTGTGGGAAAAAACGGACTATGGACAGAATAAATAAGAATAAAGATGTATGTGTGTATGTGTGGTATGGTGATAAGTACTATGGAGAAAAATAAAATAAGGAAGGATGATTGGAAGTGCTTTTTTTTGCTGTTTTATTTATTTTTATTTTTTTTTATTATTATACTTTAAGTTTTAGGGTACATGTGCACAATGTGCAGGTTAGCTACATACGTATACATGTGCCATGCTGATGCGCTGCACCCACTAACTCGTCATCTAGCATTAGGTATATCTCCCAATGTTATCCCTCCTCCCTCCCCCCTCCCCACAACAGTCCCCAGAGTGTGATGTTCCCCTTCCTGTGTCCATGTGTTCTCATTGTTCAAGTCCCACCTATAAGTGAGAATATGCGGTGTTTGGTTTTTTGTTCTTACGATAGTTTACTGAGAATGATGATTTCCAATTTCATCCATGTCCCTACAAAGAACATGAACTCATCATTTTTTATGGCTGCATAGTATTCCATGGTGTATATGTGCCACATTTTCTTAATCCAGTCTATCATTGTTGGACATTTGGGTTGGTTCCAAGTCTTTGCTATTGTGAATAGTGCCGCAGTAAACATACGTGTGCATGTGTCTTTATAGCAGCATGATTTATAGTCCTTTGGGTATATACCCAGTAATGGGATGGCTGGGTCAAATGGTATTTTAGTTCTAGATCCCTGAGGAATCGCCACACTGACTTCCACAATGGTTGAACTAGTTTACAGTCTCACCAACAGTGTAAAAGTGTTCCTATTTCTCCACATCCTCTCCAGCACCTGTTGTTTCCTGACTTTTTAATGATTGCCATTCTAACTGGTGTGAGATGATATCTCATTGTGGTTTTGATTTGCATTTCTCTGACGCCAGTGATGGTGAGCATGGAAGTGCTTTTATAAATAAGGAAAGTCTTCCTGAGAAAGTGATATTTGAGCAAAGGCTTGAAGGAGGTGAGGGAAGGAAGCCTGCAGATACCTGGGGAAATCATTCCGGGAAGAAAGAAGCTGATGCAAATGCTCTCAGAAAAGACACTGGTGAGGCGAATGCAGCAGAGGGGCTCAGAGAGGTGGAATAGGCAGGAGTGTGGGCACCAGGGCAAGAGTGGCGGGACAGCCACAGACTCAGAAAAGGGGGGGCCACACATAAATTTTAATTTTTCATCTATGTAAGATGGGGAGCTTTTAAAGGACATTTTTCCTGGATGTGGAATTTTGGAGGACTTTGAGGAGAGAGATGCCATAATCTGATGAATATTTGTTTTCTTCAACTTTTAAGTTCAGGGGTACATGTGCAGGATGTGCAGGTTTGTTATATAGGTAAAAGTGTGCCATGATGGTTTGCTGCACAGATCATCCCCATCACCTAGGTATTACACCCAGTATCCATTAGTGATTCTTCTTGATGTTCTCCCTCCCCTCCCCTCACCCAACCCCGACAGGCCCCAATGTCTGTTGTTCCCTGCCATGTGTCCATGTGTTCTTATCATTCAGCTCCCACTTACAAGTGAGAACATGCGGCGTTTGGTTTTCTGTTCCTGTTTTAGTTTGCTGAGGATAACAGCTTCCAAATCCATCCATGTCGCTGCAAAGGACATGATCTTGTTCCTTTTTATGGCTGCATAGTATTCCATGGTGTATATGTACCACATTGTCTTTATGCAGTCCATTAGTGATGGGCATTTAGGTTGATTCTATGTCTTTGCTATTGTGAATGGTGCGTCAACGAACATACCCACACATGTATCTTGGTAATAGAATGATTTGTATTCCTTTGGGTATATATATACCCAGTAATGGGATTGCTTGGTCAAATTATATCTCTGCCTCTAGGTCTTTGAGGAATCACTAAACTGTCTTCTACAATGGTTGAATTAATTTACACTCCCACCAACAGTGTAAAAGCATTCCTTTTTCTCTGCAACCTCACCAGCATCTGTTTTTTGGCTTTTTAATAACTAATAGCTATTCTGACTGATGTGATGTAGTATCTGATGGATATTTTTAAGGGATATCCCTGGTTGTTAAACTCAAAACAGACTAAACAAGAGAAAGGGCAGAACAGAGATGCTAGCTGGAGACTATTGCAAAAAATAGTCCAGGTGAAGGATGTGGGCAGCTTGGAACAGAATGGTAGAGGAAGAACTGGTCCCAAGCAGTTTTACATTCCAAATGTATTTTGAAAGCACAACTGCCAAAATTTGCAAATAGTTTTGGTATGAGATGAGAGATCAAGAAGAGCCAAAGATGACTCCAGAGTTTTTTGTCTGAGCAACTAGAAGGATGGAGTTATAATTTACTAAGGTAAAGAAGACTAGGAGAACAAGTGGGTTGGGTTGCAGTTTGGACCTGCCCAGTTTTAGATGCCTCTTAGATTTCTAATTGCAAATGTCAGGTGAACAGTGTAATCTGTGAGTCTACTTTAGATATTGGTCGAAAATAGGAATTCAGGAATTCTCAGCATATAGATGGTATTTAAGGTCATCTGACTGGGTAAAATCGTGAAAGGAGTGATTGTGAGTAGAGAAGAAAGGAAGATCGAGGGTTTAAACATGGACACCCCAATGTTAAGAATTCAGGATTCTGCAGAGTAGCCAATAAAGTAGAAAGAAACCAGAAAAGGGTGGTTTCCTGGACACCAAGTGGAAGCTGTTTGTAAAATCCCGTCATTATGTCAGGGAATGGGAAGATTGGCTTAAATTAGCAATGTTAGGTCATTGGTGGTGAGAGAGAAAATCTAACTGAAATAGGCCCAAGAGAATAGAGGAGAGAAATTGGGAAATGGAGAGACTGCTCATTGAAGGAATTTTGTTATGAAATCAGAATGTAAAAAATGAAATGGTAGCTGTAGACGGAAGAAGGGAGAAAGCGTTTTTTAAAGAACCGTATTAATATGTTTTAAAATTGTTATATTTGTTAGGAATGATTCCATTGATAAGGGAAAGTGGATGATGCAAGAAAGAAGGAAGAACTGTTGAGGTTCCCTGAGGTCCATGAGAGGGGATCAGGCCTACAGCAAGACTGCAGGCTGAGCCATTGCAAAGTAATTGCCATAAGTAAGCACAAATGCAGAAAGGGAGATAGATAAGGAGAGAGCTTGGGGAAGATCTCTTCTAGCTCACTTCTCCGTTTTATTTGTTAATGCTATGTACAAGGTCATCAGCTGAGGCTGAGGATTGTGGAGAAGCTCTGAGGATACAGAAAAATGCATGAAATTGTGATTGGGGAGGGAGAATAAACAGAATGGGGAAATAATATGAACACCCAGAAGCACAAAAGGACTGTGGAGGTGAGTGATCCCCAGTTTGGTCTGTGTGTTGTGTAGTTTTCTTCAGGACATTGAGCTGTGCACATGCAGATAAGGAGTTGACAGAGAATTGGATTTAACAATAGTTGGGGTTTTACCAAATGAATATTTAGGAACTCAAGTGGAGCAAGTGAGTTGATAGTGTAGGATAGGAGGTGACTCTAGTTCAGGATTGTGGAATTGAAACTGGATAAGCAGATAAGGGAGAGGGTGAGAGGCAGAGGAATGGTGTTAGGATCAAAAGAGTGTAGGTGCAGCTGCAGGCTGACTGAGTTCCCTAGGGAAGGAGCTGGAACTGAACAGCAGGAGGAGGGAGCATTAACAATGGGCTGCTAAACATTGAGATAATGGAGAGGTTATTTGTAATGAACAAATCTAGACTGCAACCATGTTAGTGAGTGGTTAAAGAAGAGTGGAGGAGGCTGGAGTCCAAGAACTTTGGTATTCAAATGGGAGAGGCCAGGCTATTGAAAGGACCAGTATGGATATTCAAGTCACCCAGGATTTTGTCAGGAGTAATGTTGGAAAGGGTGAGAGTAAACCAGGATAGAAAATCTCCAAGGAATGCAGGCGAATGGCCTGGGGGGTCTGCAGATGATTACAAAGAATGGCTATAAATGGTGATGGAACCTGATGATTCAAAGATAGGGTATTTAAGGAGGTGGGTACAGTAGTCTGTGGGTAGTAATAAGGAAAAAAATTGAAAAATTTTTTTTCTTTGGCTGTATACTTTCTATTGACAGCCATTTAATTATCTACTTATCTTATTCTACCTGTATAAGTATGACTCTGCTTACTTAGGTACCACTTTATTTTTCCCTATGCAGAAATCTATTTGCCTCTCTTTTTATCATCTATCATACCTATCCCTTGAACCACTTCCCTACTAATCAGCTATTTTTTTTTTTTACTTATACTAAAATGTTTACATTGTTTTACACATTGCTTCCTCCCTGTTTACTTTTGATGTATATTATTAGCTCAGAGATATTGGACACATTCTTTTTAATAGCTGCTTACTTACGGGTGTGCCAAAATGTATTTAGTCAGTATTTTTTCCCATTGATGTACCCTTTGGTCATTTCCAATTATTCGCTATTACAAACAGTGTGGTTATATATCTCTGCATATGTATATATTTGAGAAATTTTGCTTCTGTATTCATGAAGTCAATTCCTATCAGAGGGTCAAGGGCAAGTGCGTTTAAAATTTGTTTATATATATAGCCTAATTGCCTTCTAATAAGATTATGCAAATTTATACTTCCACCAACAGCAAAAGAGAGACTACTTTCCTCATACCCTGGCCCTTAACAACATTATTTATTGAGCATTTTAAATTTTTACCAAGTTAATAGAAGGAGAAATTTCATCCCCTTTTTATTTGCATTTTGACTAAAAATGAATATGTTTTCATCTGTTTATTGGGCATTAGAATTTTTCTATTTCTATAAATTGCCTTTCTTAAATTTTTTGTACTGTTTAAAATGAAATCGAAGTTTTTATTTTGAGATCATTGTAAATTCACATACAGTTGGGAGAAATAATACAGACAGATCCCAAGTACGCTTTGTCCTGTCTTCCCTAGTGGTAACATCTGCAAAACTTGAGTACAATATCATATCCAAGAAGGCCATATTGACATAGTCAAGAATGTAGTTTTCCTAATTTTTGCCCACTTTTCTATTGTGCTAATTATCTTTTTTATGATTGATTTAAATATTTTATTTGAAAATTAAGAAAATTATTATTTTACATGTATCAAATATATATTTTCTCCCAGATTTCCATTTGCCCTTTGCTTTTATTTGTTACATTCCTGCTTAATTTTGTCAGTCTTTATGACTTGTGAGTTTTACATCCTTCTTGAAAAAGTCTTATCAACTTTATAAATGAATTTATGTTCTAGAATTTTTATGATTCTATTTTTCATGTTAAAATGTTGATCCATTTGAAATTTATTTTGAGGTAGAGAATTAGGTAAGAATCCGGTTTTCTTTTTTCTTCAAATAGTTAACTAGTTTTTTATATTCCATTTATTTCAAATATTACTTATGTCATCACCAAATTTCTATTTGCATTTGGGTTTATTTCCACACTCACTTTGATCTCTGTCATTCTCTTGGCATGTCTCTACCAGCATCTAGCTATGCTAATTATTGTACCACTCTAATCTGTTTTAGTAGAGGACAGGAGTAAGTGCTCCTTATTTACTGCTTTCTCCTCTCCTCCCCAAGGATTCTCCTAGTAATTTTTAAATACTTATTTTTTAACCCAAAAACTTTATTATCACGTTGTCAGGTTAAAAATATTGCTGTTGATGTTTCAATTTGAACTGAATTATTATTAAATTCCTAGATAAATTTGAGGAAATATAATATCTTTGCACTACATAATCTTCTTATCCAAGTGCATGGTAGGTTTGATCATGTACTTATTCTCTTTTGCATTCTCCGGTAGAATTTAAAGGTCTTCTTGTACAGACCCTGAATATTTTATTTATTTACATTTATTTCACAAGTACACACACCTATACATAGTCCTTAGTGTTAACTTGGTCAATAATAGAACATAGAAAAGAAAATATTAAACACTCAAATGCCATCAAACTCACATAGTAATCTATTTTATAGATGGTAGATGACTGTTTCTGTATCGAAATTACTAATTCCTAACACAAAATATTTTGTCCATGTTTTTGCTAGTGACGGTTTATACAGTAGCCAGAAGGCGAGTAAAGAAACAGACTTTTCATGTTTTCAGAGGTAGATGTTCCTGAAATAAGCATCCTGTGTATATAAAAAAAGTAAGTTGTAAAAATAAAATATGTTCGATTGGATAATCATCTATAACGTTAACAGTCCAATTGCTTGTCATGTAGGGGAAGGCTGTGCTTTAATTAAGCAATAAGACATGACAGGGTGTGAATTATGGAGTAATAATTCTTGTCTAGTATATTGTTAGACAGGAGGCCGAGGGCCAGGTGTCACTGCATACACCATGCATAAATTATTATGCTGTAACTTAAATCTAGAATATTATAGAATAATTCTAAAATATTTTTCAAATAATTTTGCTAAATAAGACACATAAGTCAAACATATTTTTTAAATTCTATGTTAGAGGACATTTATTATAATGGTATAAGATCAAGATGCTAAAGTGAAGCATTTACTTTCAAGGAAAGACATAGCAAGAAAAATGTAATAGTAAAGTTGGCTTCCTAAGTGGTTATTCTCTAAACAAGATTGTTCCAGAGGAGATTTCTAGGAAGAAAATACATTAATTTGACTTTATCCCTTGTGATTAGGAAAAAAAATGGTGGGAACTGTTTTGAGAAATTTTAAAAGAGGTCCTTTTTGGCTTTTTTTTTCTTCACAAAGCAGCACTAACAAATAACTCTAACATAAATCTTCCTGAGGAAAAAGAAAAATGCATCTTGCAGAAAGAACTTGGCAAGGGTGGGGCAATTTTACAGATTTTGGGGTCCTTTAAAATCAGTGTGATTTGTAATCCTAATGCTTTCCCCTGTAACGTACCGTTTTGAAGGTCCTCTTTTGTAAAGACCTTAAAACAGATCTCTTATCACAAGCAAACACATTGTTTGAAATGCTGCTTTTTTAAAAAATAAGAAAACTCATTTCTGCCCATTCAAAAGCAAAATGTTTGAGGGCAAGTATGTGACTGTAATAAAGAGAAAGTCTCTCTCTGCTTTTCATCTGCAGAGCACTCTGGCTAGCAGTGTTTCAAAAGAAGATTTCTTTTTAAAGTTATTATATTTTGTGCTTTTATTGTCAATATTGTATACTTTTAGGATGGTTGGTGTGTTAACAAGCTCAGCTTCTTTTGTGAATATTGCAAGATGAAAGTTATATTGCAACTTCAGACCATTAATTTTGTCTCTTTAAATTAATGCCCGTTATTATCAAATTTGACCTCTTTCTGTAAGTGGCAAGACTAGAGTTAGCTTAATGTGCGAATCAAATAGTCCTTAACAAGGTGCTCTTAAAGGGGCTCCTTTAAGAACCACCCACTTGCCCGAAATATGTCTCTTACGGTCTTATCACAGTACCATTAATTATTTATTTCTCTGGATTCATCTCTGTGTCTTCAGTGATCCCTTATTAAAAAGAAATCCCTCCCAAGTCAATGAGATAGAACCCACTGATGAGTGATCAGCCTCTTAACAGAGATGAGTTTGTCCACCTGCTTTGGTCCATGCGGAAAGCAGAGAAGAAAGGACACGGGAAAGGGATGCTTTATTGGACGTGAAAAGTAAAGGTTTCCAGCCACGAAACTTGGGTGAGGTGTTACTGTGATCCTGAGCTACTGGAAGGTGGCTTGAAAGCTCACTTTGTTCATGGTTGGGGGGTAGAAGAACCTCAAGAGAGGAGAGCAGAATTATGAGTTCTTCAGGCAAGGGTGGACCATGTCTTATTTGGTGCCTAGTATGTGTCCTAAATGATGAAAAAGTTAGGGAAAGCTAAAGAAAATTTCATCTTCTGTGCTTAACAGTTTTACCAACTTTATCACTTATAATAGGTCCCTAGGTCTATCACAACAATAAAATAAAACCCTTTTTAGCCCTTTCTTCTGGTTTCTGTTTAGCTGAACTAGGCAGAGTTAACTTTTCTACTCAGTGGATCCAATTACTCCTTTTCTAGAAATACATCTCCACAGGATTTTATTCCAAACTTTTTGTTGTGTCAGGTCAGCCTTAGGAAAGCACTCATTCTAGTTCATTCCAGGACATTAATTAGCCCAAAATGTTTCCTTGTATAACACCCCACAGATTGTTCCCCACCAAATATCACATATTGGGTAGATATCAAATAAAGCAAAGAGGCCGCAACTTTCTCTTATGCTTATCTGAGATTTGTTGGGTCGGTTTTGGGCCACCCACATGTTGGGTAGTTCTTAAAAACGGTAACAGATACCCATAGCATTATCTTTAGAGAACTATGATATAAAAGAATGCTGTTGGCTTCCAGCAAGATCAGTACGCGACAGGAGTGATTGAAGAGCACCTCTGCATTTTTAGAAAAGGACAATCAATTACTTTGTTTTAATTTTCATACCAGCATGCCCTTGACTTAGGCTGTATCTGCTTCTACAGAGAGACCCCTACTTTAAAATATTTCAGCATGCAATAATTTGTGAAAATATTCCTTTCACCAGCTGGCTGCTTGTTCAAACTGGCCACATGACTAAGTTTCAGCTACTCATACCACACAGTAGGATGATCAAAATTGTATTTTATATATTTATGTTTACTGGGATACATTATTAGCACTTATTTTGTTAAAATCTCCATGCTAGAGATTCAGGGTCATTTACTTCCTCAAAGTTAACAATAGCATTGCGGGGTTAGGGTTAATTTAGGGACTGGAAAATGGAGTCATGTAAAGCTCCTCAGTAAATGAAGAGTCCAGTCTTTTAACTCAAGAATTAATTTGGAAGCCCAAACTATTTCCAACAAACCATCTTGTTTTCTGCTGATGTTAAAGTTAGAATCGTTTTTAAAATTGAATTTAGCAACTACTACAGCCTTCCAAAGGAAAAAAAAAAAAAAAAAACAAGAAACTGCCGTTTTCCCAGTCTGCAATCCAAGACTATTACACTTCTTCTATGACCCATTCTAGGAACTCTCTCCTCACAGTGTTGTTACGCACCTGCTTTCTGATCCAGAACCGATTACACATTGTCGGAGTCCAGAGTGCTAACCATCCCACCTCGCTGATTACACATTTTCAAAAGTACAACAGCCTAAGGGAAGCCCTAGGGTAGCGGGCATGAGCACCAGCCTCATCACACCAAGAACCAACAGTCATTGCTACAGAAAAAATCCTACGGTTGTAGCCATAGAGCAGGTGCTGGCACTTTCCTCCATCCAAGTTTAGTTTTTTTCCACGTAAATTAGTTGGTATCACGCATTGTTTGTGTTGGGGTGGGAGTTTTGATTGAGAATTTTTGTCATGATCTTTTGTTGGGGACGAAGACTGACCTGTAAATTAAGAACAGAAAAGAAGGCACAGAGCCAGTGTCACAACTTGCCTGCAGGAGCCTGAGCCTACCCCTCTCCACTAGGTATACCACAGGTTTTTTGTAATCCATCACCTTGATTCTTATCTCCTGTTTCCTGACTTGGCTTTCTTGCATATTATTTCAATTCCCTTTAGCAGATTTGCTGCTTTTAAACTCGTTAGCTTAAAAGCAGCAGCCTGGACTCACATTCCTAATTTCTGTTTTATAAAGGCCATTGCTTTTGATATTCTCACTCTCAGGCTGTGGCCCAACTACGGTTCTCTCCAGCACCCCAGCTCTGTAGAAAGGAAATGAGACTTGTTTCTGACAAGGTCACCCATAACGTAAGTTGTTGAAATTCCTCGTTACTACGTTTAGATTTTAAAATGGAATGTAGGTATCTTTCGCCTGTAATCCCAGCACTTTGGGAGGCCGAGGCGGGCAGATCTCCTCAGGTTAGGAGTTTGAGACCAGCCTGGCCATTATGGTAAAACCCTATCTCTACTAAAAATACAAAAAAAATAGCTGGGCGTGGTGGCGGGTGCCTGTAGTCCCAGCTACTAGGGAAGCTGAGACAGGGAAATTGCTTGAACCCTGGAGGCGGATGTTTCAGTAAGCAGAGATCACACCACTGCACACCAGCCTGGGCGACAGAGCGAGAATCCATTTCAAAAAAAAATAAAAATGGAATGTAGGTATCAATCAAAACAGAATAAGGAAAGTAGTATTTATTATCTCACACTCCAATGGTATCATTTTATTTTTTTGGAGTATGAGTCATTCACAACATCCTCCGTTTTATTTTCTCAAACCCCTGCCGCAGACAGCACAGAACAGAAAGTAAAATTATGAAAAAGTCAAGTCAGCAGTTGGTAGGAATTTCTATTTTTGTTTCCGAAATAGAAAAAAAAATAGATCTTTTAAAATCATGGCATATCATGTGATCAAGAAAAAATAAAGGAGTACTGAAAAAAAAAAGAAACTAAAAATAGCTCAGTGGCAATTTAATAACTGACGAGACTTATCCCATGTGCTGGAATGAGTTTAAAACCTTTACCTGCTGTCACTCACACCATAGAGATTTAGTGTTCATAGCTGAAACCTAACATTGGATGTGGAAGTATGTGATTATGATTCATTGATTCATCTTACAAATGCATTCCTCTGCTTAATAAGTGTCATTCTATTTGTTTAAAGGACATAAGAATCCTCAAGTTTGGAAGTGTAAAAAAAATCGACTCAAAGGATGAGAAAGAGCTGAAATACATGTGTACAAATAGCATTAGGACACCTGAAGCTAATCAGATCTGCACCTGGTATTCAGCAAACTCTAGGTCAGGTGTTCTTCACACAGAAATGCTTTAAAAGTGAGGAGGTTGGTTGGAATCCTATATAATCAGACACTGTCAAAGCATAAAAGAGAAAAATATCTCCCCCATGAAAGCATGAGCAGAGGCAACCTATGCCATTGAATCCTTATCTCTTGGATTCCCTTCTTTGCTCCCCATAACTCAAAACAGGCAGGCAGCAGGCTGTACAGATGGAGACGCAACAGCCAGAGTCCGCGTGGAGCATCAGAGATCTGGCTAGTGGTCTAGTTAACAGTCAGCTATTTTGGGATAATACCCACAGTTGTTTTTGCAAAAATGAAAAAAAAAAAAGATGGATTTATCTTGAGTTCGGTATATAAAAATATTTGTACAGGTTGGTGCTTTGGCATGAGCCATTTTTCTCAATTTTAGATTATTTGCTGATTATCAAACAGACTTCCTTTGAAGTCAACAGCAAACAGACCCTGTTGAAAAGACACTATGGGTAACATTAGTAACGTATTACAGTTTTAGGTCCCAAAAGAAATGTTTTAGGTACTGCTTATTATTTGCATGTAGTTTTGTTGTTTTTTACTTTGAACATGCAGATGGCAGAGTGACTTAGAGATCTCCTTGCATGTCATACCCACACATTGTACTAGGTACAGAGGAGGGACTATGTAAGTCTGTATTCGTCAAAATGATGGGCTGGGATTCCTCAGCCGGCAGGCAACACTGGGGGGAGTTAATAGAATTTGGGAGCTTAATGAGGCTTGATTCATTTAGGAAGTAAAATGATGTGGGGAAAGAAGCAACTGTATGAGATTGACAAGTATGTTTTTTGCAAAACACTTTTTATACATATAGTTATGTCAGCAGATATTTAAACTATCTTTTATGCTATAAATCAGTTTACTAATCACAAGTCTTCCATCAAGTAACTAGACTGGCAATCACATTAGTATATTTGACAAAAGCGAGTCTTGAAGTTATCTATGATGGTTTTAACAAAATAAAAGAAAGAACAATAACAAAGAAACAACTTATCATCTTCATTTAATGCCTTTGCCAGCACTATGTTCTATATCCCAGTCACACACACACACACACACACACACACACACACACACAGACAATCACATAATCCTTGCTCTTAAATTGCTTATAAAACAATAGGGAGAAAAAGACAGATGTAAAATAAACTATTTTTGTCAGGAAAATACAAACACTATGCTTTAGATGTTTCAGTAAAGGAAAGAGACATATTTGGGTGGAGAAATGAGGAAATATTTCATGGATAAGAAAGATTGTGAAATGGGTCTTCAAAAGATGGGTAATATCTCAAATGGTAAAGAAGGGAAGAACATTTCAATAGAAAGTGCCGTTAACAAAGGAATGACAGTGGAGATGTATTAAATATGTTTAAGAAATGATTACTAAGCCAATCTGGATTGGATGTGAGGGTTGTGATTGGGAGGTGATTATAGAAAGCTGGAAAGGTAGGCTGAACCATGTTCTGGAGGGCCTTGGATAGCAGGCAAACGCAACTACAGTCATGACTCTCGTTTCAGGATTGGACAATTCTAAAGAGTTTCTAATTGTCTCATAGCAATCCATGTCTGACATTTCTATTCCATTATTAGTCATGACCCTTAATTAATATAACATGCAACCCCCAGAATACGAAAATGTTATTGTACAGGCCAAAGGATTCCTCTAGCCTTGATTATTGTTACCTTTCCAAAGACATTATCAAGGTCACGTGTTTTGTTAGATTTTGGAAAGTCAGCTCTCAAGGGCAAACATGAGGGTTTGCTGGTTGCCAGTGAACTCTTGCTAGTTTCTCCTGTATCAGACATGAGGGTCAGCTCAGTACCAGTTGCTTGGGCAATTTTATGCCAAGATGCCAGTAAATTAAAGTGGTGAAGTCCTTGGTCTCTCCACATATCCTAGACACTAGCCTGTGTTTATTGCATTTTATTCTAATGATATTTAAAAGGAGGGGAACAAAAGGCCTCCTAATCTTGTATCCAATTGTTCACCATTCACTTACTTGCAGAGTATTCAGTTAGTTTTTTCATTATTGTCGATTTTTCTTTATTATTTCCATTTAAAACTTTCCAATGTACTAGTTTTGCAAATGTTCTTTCCTTTTTTGTACTCACTTTTTTTTTACTTAATGTGATTATTTTTCTGGTATAACATGATTCTAGGAAAAGACTCAGATTGTTCTAATTAAAAATCTATTATACCTTGGATAAACTAAGAAGTTTGTCAAACTTCTTAAAAGGATAAGAGCCAATTAATTTAAAAATCTGAGTACACATACTGTGCTAGATGGCTTGAGTCTAAACACAAAGTTGAAGTGACCATTCGGAAATCAGACCAATTATTTATATTAATTCTGTGAAATCATTATATTTGGCCAAAATTAAGCAACTTTTAACTCAAACATGTACTCCAGAAGAGATACTATAACATATGTGGCTAAGTGACATCAATACATGCATTTCTGTCACTTTATCCTTAGTAATGCTGCTCTCCTGCCTTTCCCGTTCTCTGTGGATTGCTGTGGGAATAGACTACTATGTGTTTGTAAGAGTAAATATCAATCAAGGTTTGTTGGGTCTTGATGAATTCAATACTAGTAGTGTTTACAAGACTGTCTGCATTTCATTATGGTGGGGAATATTATATTGCCCCTGATTGCTGTCTCTTATTTTAACAAGCAAAAAGGAGGCTAAGTATGTGATCTCTGGTGCACTGTCACGTCATTGATAGCAGTTGAGGGCACTTTCTTGGGAAATATGTGACGATGACGTGCCAAATCTCTAAATAATCCTCAGTGAGTGTCTCTGTGCTAGAGGAGTTGGCCACTGACCAAGAAGTGGGCTCTCCTAATTTCACAGATCAAGAAAAGCAAGTAAGTGCATGTAAAGATATCCGAGACAAAGGGTGACGGGGACAAAAGTTGCTAATGTCTTTTCCCATATGCTTTGTCTAATGGAGAAATAACCAATTCCCTTCTGCCTTGTTATCCTAGTGAAACAGTGGAAGGGTTACCTCCCTTCTTGCCCGGTAGCATAAATAGGAAAAAAAGCAACTTAAACTTAGACAGCCTTCATTTCATTTGGGCTTGGTTCATCAGTGGTCAATTTCAGTATTATTGTTTTGATAAATAAATCAATTTCTTTGCTGATTTTTTGTCTCCTCAAAACAATGTAGCTTATCACTCTGTTTAAAATAATAATAAAACAATGGAAGCCTATGAAACAGGTGCTGCTGGAAGGGTAAAATTGAATGCTATGTGCTCCAAGATGGCCTGTGCAGGCAACAGGAGTAATAGGAATGATTAAACCCTGTCGGATGGGGTTAGGTTTTTAGAGCTTTCTTGCCTCATGACAGGCTGTGACAGCCAAGTGGCACTGAAGCAGAACAAACTCCGATGGCAGTTTGCTGTGAGCAGTGCAACTGTCAAAACTGCTGCACGAAAGCAAATGTTAGGGCTAACAACCAGCAAAGTTTGCAGCCTGACTACTGACATGCTGATGGCCAAAATGTCTTCACAAGTAAACTCCAGGTTATTCTCCTGTCTAGGGCATTCCACTATTATGCTCAGGACTGCCTAGCTCCTTCTGTGCCCTGGGGATTGTCAACTTTCCATATTAGGACAAAGCATTCTTTCTTTGGAAAAGTACTAGCTAATCCTCCTATACTCACATAGAGTGCTAATATACATGTGTGATTCATACACAATTTATCATATTTTGTGTTGGTGGCGATCACAGGCAATCCACAAAGAGAAACCCTGTCTGTGTGTGAAATCTAGTTCCAATTATGTTGCTGTAAGAATAGGTTACAGCACAGATGTAAACCCGCCATCACAAATAGGGTGAAATACTTCACACCCAAAGCTAAAACAGTGAACTTAGCATTGTCAACAGTTTCTTGAAAAGTTGAAAAAAAATTACTTTACACCCATGTGGTTTCACAGGTTTTTATTAGAAGCCACAATACACACTTTTCACTAGCAGTAAATGCCTTCACCAGCAGCACACCTTCCAATATTGTAATAGCGTGGGGAGAGTTTCTCAGTCTCTGTCATCTCATGGGAATTCTCCCACTGAGTTTCCATAGGTTGCAGAGAATGACAAGGTTGCCCAGGGTCTGTATCATATGCAGACTCAATTTTAGCATTGCATGCTGTCATATTTCTCATGTTTTGGAGAGTCCAAAAGGGAAGGTGTAATTCAAGCCTGAAATCGTCAGGGTGCTGGATGTCTTACCTCTGACGAGATCAGACTCTCCAAATGTAATAGAAACCAGGAATTCTTTTCAGATCACAAAATCAATTTTTCTCTCTAAGAAAGCTCATCTGAAAGTCCTCATGCATGCATTCCTACAGGCTTTAACAAGCTGGTGTACGCGACACAGTAGTGTTTACAGGCAGCAAAAGGATTACCACTCACATCTAGTTTGTAAAGGTAATGCCCATTAATTTATAAAATATCTCTTGAATGAAAAACAGTCTACCCATACTTGTGTGCCCAAAATAATTCATGAGACCGATGATTTAGAAGTTTCATCTCCCTTACCTGCAGCTGAAAGGGCAAACACAATCATTCCACTTTTACTATTAGAAAGAAGAACATATTTTTTAAAGGGTAGTAAATTAGCTTGTGCTGGAAGCATCTGTTTTCTTGCCTTCATCACTGCCAACTCCCTCTGTTTTCTTTGATCTATGATTTGCAAGCTACTATTATTATTTATGTGTTCTACAATTACGACCAGTGACATCTCCCCTTCTCCAGCCCTAAGCCACAAATATGAAAGGAGTAAATGCTGTTTATTGTGACAGTCTGCCTTTTGTGTGGGGAACAATGACAAACTGTACCACTGACAGCTCGCTACTGTTTTTACTGCTGCTCCCCACCTCACTTCCCCAGTGCTCTCCAGAATGTGACGATGGATGGACTTGAATAAAAATGCTTAGTGAGAATCTGTTGCATTCATTTACCTCCCAATGAGCTCCTTTGGGGACATGTATGGGATAAAGGACAGAAGGCCCAGCAGAAGCATGAGGACAGTTAAAAGTTTTTGCACATCTTCAGGGGAAGGGAGAAGGAGGCTTCTTAGCTTGCTCAACAAAGATCTCTAACCACTGATGTGCTTAACTTTTTAAACATATTTTATTTTGAAATCACACAGTGTAAAGATAATGTGAAGAGGGGATGCAGATCAGAGCCTTTACGAATTTTTGGAAAGATTTCCATTTCCTCAGCCTGGGAACTTTCCACAGAGCAGCATTTGCATAGAAGAATTGGAAGGACCAAAATGTTTGAGGTTTTCCGAAGGGCTTACGCTAATTAGCTTTTTAAGCTGTGTTAAGATGCTATGTTTACAGGATAATTGCACCTTACGGAACAGAATAGATTAATAAATAAAAGAATCACTGCGATTTTTGTATACCCAACTTTGAGCTAAGTGCAAGCTTGTACATATTTGACAGCCAGCCTGCTTTCATCTGATGTCATTGGACAGGAAAGATTACTAAAAGCCAGCACCTACATCGGGCCTCACAAAGATATTACATTTGAGCACATGTAGTTCTGTTTCCTCCTGTTTTCAGTGGTTTGTGAAAAGAATATTCAACACCCTCTGGAATTCCACTTTTAAAGAAGTAAATTTTTAAAAACCAACTGTGTCTTCTACCAAGTTTCTATTTTAGGGAACACATTTAAAAATCAATACCAACTCTTTCCATTGTTAAACAAACTCATGTTTTACAAAAATTGTTTAAGTGTTTTATTTTCATTCTTTGACATAAAATCTTCTACCAGTAGCTCTTAACTATTCATAATACAATTTAACCATTTAAAATCTACTGCTTATAACAGTTGCCTCACATAATTTTCCTTTAATGCAGGGCGGGGAGCTGGGGAGGTTGGAAATAGAGATTGCAAAATGAGTTAAAAGAAACTTGATGAACTCAGCAAAAGTGAGAATTAAAGAAATGAGAAAATTAAGTAGTATATAATATTAAATAGTTTATTAAAGGTGTGAGAATGAAATGAAATTCATGTGATAATAAGTGTAAATGAGGGTTCCAATAGAGGGACAAAGACTTTTAGATTGAGATGAGAGACAAAACCCATCTGCTTGTAAAAAGCACATCTAAAATAAAGGTTTAAAACATGTTTGAAAGTATAAGGATAAACAAGAAGTGCCTGGTAAATGTAAAAACCAAAAAAAAAGTTGGAGTTACTTTATCAATATCATCTCAAGTGGAACTCAAGATTATAGCCATAGAACAAAAGGAGTATTATGGAAGTGGAAAATGTTCTGTTCATAAGCATGAAAAACTATAAATGTATTTGCACCAAGCAATATAGCCATAGAATACATAATGCAAACTTCCAGAAATACAACTGGATAAAACCATTTGATAAGTAAGGACTTTGTTTGTAAAATTCTAAGAGTTGTAATTAAGTAAAGAGGAAAAAAGCAAGGATTTAAATAATGCAATCAACAGATGTGTGTGTGTGTGTGTGTGTGTGTGTGTGTGTGTGTATGCATGTGGATAAACAGTAGGTAGAAAAAATAATAGATGTTTAATAAACAATTACATCATACTTACATCAAGAAAGACATGCTGGTTTTCTTCTGAGGTTTGACATATTAACTCATAAACTCTTCCTAACAGCCTTTTATAGATAGGAAACTGAGGCACTGACTGAACAGGTAACTTGCTTAATACTCCATGGCCAGAGAGCAGCAGAGCCGATAGGTCTGGCTCTAGGGCCTATGGTCTTAAGACTCAACCACCATGCTGCCTACAGAGAATATATGCACTTCTCTTATTCCATGAAAAAATATTAAAAACTACTCATGAATTTGATGAAACAAACTTTAACAAATTTCAAAACATAGAGATTTACAGACCATATACTCTGACCATAAGCCAGTTAAACTAAAAGTCACCAATGGAAAGATTTCCCCCTCTTCCTCCAAAAAAAAAATCTCCACATATAGATTTAAAACATATCATCATTAATTTCTGAATCAAAACAGGACCCCCAAACTAAGATTAAAAATAATTTAGCAGTTAAATCTGCCATAATTATTCCCCTTAAACATGACACTTTTCACTCCCCACTCTATTGTTTTTAAACTGCTAATAAAATTTCTAAATATTCCCCTAATTCCCTTTATTTGCACTAATCTAGTCACTTAGGTATATCTAAGTTGAATTTAATAGACCACGATTGTGTAATTTCCCACTGTTAACACAGAATTAATTTTATACCTTTGTAAGTATATATTATTTGTAGTTTAATTTCTCCTAAGTTGGGCCCATTATGGTTATGATAGTGGGATCTATGACCTAAAAACTTCAATCAGTCCCAATCCAGGAGTCATTTTAGAGCTTCAAGGGAGAAGGTAGGGCTTCCTAGTCACTTTGGAGACATTTGATAAGTAGGATATGGTAAATTTGACCAACTAGCTGTTATTCCCTTGTGATCTGCCTGCCCTTGATGACCACTACCTTCCTCTTCTTCTCCCTTGAGAATCATATGGTTGATGATTCTCTCCTCTTCTTCTCCCTTGAGAATCATATGGTTCCTCTCCTTCCTCTCCTCTTCTCCCTTGAGAATCATATGGTTGATGATTATTTCTTCTGACATCTTATTACCTTCCTTACCCTGGGTTTTAACCCATGAGGATTATTTATGCTTTCTTTGATTTTTTTCTTCCATTATCTCCCCCACCACACACATACACACACACACACACACACACACACACACACACACACACACACCCCGAATAATCATTTTGGTAAGTCTGTTCTATAAATTATCATTCATGATTAATTTAGTTGTTCATATTTTAATCAAATTACTCTAAACGTCTCTATATTGTCAGTTGCTTAGTCAAGGCAAGAGTTCACGGTTTTATTGATCTTTTTATTTTTACTATCGACTATACTAAGCTGGTAGGGAAAAACCTCATCATTATCAGTCTTACAGTGTATTATCATTGTCACGGTTATTGATGGCTAAAATAAAAATCGTGCTTATACACGAGAGATGAATCATCTCTCATAACTGCCGTATAAAGTAAATAGCAAGTTAACGTGGTGACATTTAGGAACGAGGCCCAACATAAACAACTGTGCAGCTACTTAGGTCACTTATTTGTGCACAATAAGATAAGCACTGGTGATTTGCACACCACAGTTCACCATCAAAATAACATGGAGAAATGACTCATATTCTCTGAAGCCTTTATCATGAATAATGGGCTTACTGGAAAAAAAAATAATCATTTTGAAAACTGATTTCAACCTACTTCTCCACAACCATATTCCACTAAATTCAGATATCTAAAAATAGATCTATAATTCTAACATCACATCTAAAAACTAGTGATTTTATTATGTACCATATTATAGTTATTTTATTTTGTTCTTCACAAAGATGTTTGAAGAAATCTTTATGTGATTTACCAAATGTTTTCAATTACTGCTTCCTATCGAGTATTCCTAAGTACTGGGCGTATATGCTACATATTCAGACTTAGGGCAAGATGAGAGAGAATCTATTTTAAAATGTCAAGCACATTGCCTGGCACATAGGTTTTAACATTTAAGGCATGAATCTAAGTGTACAATATGTTTGTGTCTTTTGAAATATAAATTATCCATCATCTTAAATACCAATTCAAGAAAATACTTCCAGGACATAATGATTCTTTATAATAATATCTTCCCTTTTATTGTCAAATTGTAGTGGCCACTTTGTTGGTCCATGTGGGCTCACTGGATGATACGTGCTCACAAGCAATTCTTGTTTACCTCCAGATGTGAGCAGCACCAACCACTCCGTCAATATCATAGCTATTAGGAAGTTTTTCTCACAGAATTCAGAAGGGAGTAAAAGAAACAGACAGGTTGAAATTGCCTCCTGGGTCATTCTGAAGTGATGGGAAAGGTGAAATTTCTTCTGGTCTAATGGGTGGAATTTTTCAAAGATGGAGTCCAGGTGGGTAGCAGTAGAATGAGACTCCAAGTTCCTGGACAATCTCTCCCTCACTGCCAAGCATGTACTAGCACAGGATAAAAGTTTGAATGAATAAATCAGTGACGAAAAACATCTGCACCATATGTGTATTCATTTCCATTCCACCTGGATTTCCCCCCTGCCCACGTCCATGCTCCAATCTGTTTTGGGGGTCCTTGATGCTTAATGCATCATGCTCTCAGTTAGAAAAGGTCACTGTAAGCCATGGTTTGAAGACTCCATCATAGTGGCAGTTGATTTGGGATATTATTTTGCTTTAGGCAAGCAGGTCAACTTCATTTTTGGCTCAACTAATGAGACTGCTAAGAGTTTAACTTTGGCTGAAATCCAGCTTCCTCAACTCTTGGGTGAGAAGCAGGGACTGACAAAAAGCCATGTTTCTTTCCACAGCATCAAAACTGGCCAGGACATTACTGCAAAATGATCAACATTTTTACCCCATTATCAAAACTTCTTATTTACCAGTGACTTTTACAACCTGAACCAATCACTGTTGGAGTACAGCAAGTAGAGAATGATATGGCTAGACATGGTGCCAGATTCTTGATTAGATTTTAGTTCTCTAGTTGTATTTGAATTAAAGTAGGAAAGCTATTATTACGTGGAAGACTTTTTACAATTTACATATTACAGACAGTGGTAGTAAAAAAAAAACGAGATTAATACATATTTATTAGCAATATATATTCTACTTTCAAGGGAAAAATTCACATAATGGAAAAATATGATTGAAACCTTGTGAAACAAATATGACAAATATATAATACTTTCTGTTACATCTTAGCAAGTGGATGATGATTGATGACTATGAATGACAAGGACTATTTATATTTGAAACAAAAATAGGAATCTTCTTTTTTATCTAAGAAATTGATGGACTACTGTGGAGAGCTAAACTACCATTACAACAAAATAAGAAGATTTTACTAAAGGAATTGTTGCATAAGGTCAAGAAATTTGACCTTCGTATTCTAAATGGTACATGCATTGGATTGGTTCTAGTGTTCACTCCAGTTATCTTCTTAGTCATCATCATCATGTTAATCCTCTTTGTCTTCAGTACAATTAGCGTCAACATCATATTTATCAAATACCCCTAAAACAATTAACATAATTTTCCAGATAAAGTGTCAAAAAACAATAACCCCTGGACCAAATCTGGTCCTACATCTGTTTTTATATGGCCCATGAGCTAAGAAATATTTTTATATTTTTATATAATTGAACAAAATTAAAAGGAAACATACTTTGTAATGTGAAAATTATATGAAATTCAAGTTCTATCATTCATAAATAAATTTGTATTGCAACAGAACCACACCTATCACTTAATTATCTATGGCTGCTTTTACTGCTACGTCTTCAGAGTTGAGTAATCACAACAGACACTGTATGCCTTGCAAAGCCTAAAATATCTACAGTCTGGCCCTGTACAGAAGAAGCTTGACAACCTCTGTCCTCGCTGATAAGTATCCCTTTTAGCACTAACTCAAGTTAATTCTAAAACAAAGTCAAAATTATTTGGCAAAATCAGGTTACTGTTTATTACAGGAATACTTAATTTGTGAACTTTAACTTATGTTCTTATTCAGTTATGGAAAACTTTTATGAACGCAGAGAGTGTGTTGACATACACATTGGCAGAACTGTTATAGATCATTTTGATTATGACTTTCTATACAGCCAGTGTTTGTTGCCTAGAGCTGATTTGTCCAACTGAAAAATATAAATGAGTAATTTTTACTATTCTGTTTCCTTGGTTATAGAACAGTATACATGTAGTGGAACAATTCAAACTTGACTCGGGGCTATATTACAATATTCTGCTCCTCTAAAAGAAAGATTTTTCAAGGGGAAAATTCAAATTAAGATTTCATTTGTTATGTCTTTTTAACAAAAGAAAAAACTTCATATTATATTCACAAATTTTAAATGTCCTAATAATTATAAGACATACAAGAAGAGGGAGAAACAGGAGAAGAGAGAGATTTGTTGTTGCATGGTTGGCAAACATGGTAAAAGGATGTAATCTCAGAAAGCCTTCTCACACTTTCCTTTGATTTACCTGCTTCCACTCCACTGCATAAAGTCTGACTTTATGACACAGAACACCCCATCATGGAATTTTGTAAGCAATAGTGATTTTCAGTGGGCTTTTCTAACATCAACAACAACCAACGAAAGACCGTTGATTTTAGAATATCTAAGCTTTGAGTAATTATTTCAGAGTTGGTACTTTATCTGGCCATCTTATGGTTACTGTGGTTGGTAAATCCACTGTAATTTATTCACATTCTGCACATGATTGTTAAGAATTATTTTTCAGCAACTATTCCCCCAGAAGATAGTGCTTTCGTATTTGTTTACCTAAAACCTTTATGAATTATTAGAGAATGAATGTACACATGTGACTTTGTTGTTTGCTTTTTTTGTTTGTGATGGGGTCTTGCTCTGTTGCCAGATTGTACTGCAGCAGTACAGTCTCGGCTCACTGCAACCTTCACGTCCCAGGCTCAGGTGATCCTCCCACCTCAGCCCCCTGAGTAGCTGGGACTACAGGGGCATGCCACCAAGCCCGACTAATTTTTATTTTTATGTTTTGTAGGAAAGAGGTCTCACTGTCTTGCCCAGGCTGGTCTTGAACTCCTGGGCTCAAGGGATCCTCCCACCTCAGGCTCCTAAAGTGCTGGGATTACAGGCATGAACCACTGTGTCCAGCAGTGTGTGACTTTGAACATAATCCAGAATCATCATGCTCCCTAAGAATGATTTTTCAATTTAAATTTACTTAGGACGTTTCATTTTAAAGAAAAGCAGAATTAGCTATTTTTCATTTTTCCTACACTATTTGATTCAGAAAGATGTACCTGAGCTTTGTGTTTTTCCCAACAAATTTCTATTTTGTCCTGTTACTTTGTTCTTAACAAAATGCTTTGCATGGATCTTTTTTATTGATTCCGAGGTCTGATCTCTTGGGAAATGTTTATTATGTATTATGTGTAAAGTTGACGTATGTATGACCATAAAAAGCAGGATCTGTGATGTGAAGTCCTTTGAGTGTGATAATGGAAAAAATGGGATTATTTCTTACTTCATAAAAATCATTTCTTTCTTGCTCATTTGAAAAGAAATGAAGCATTCATAGAATTACCACATTGATATTAATGATTACTGCAACAACCCGCTATGAATCTCTGATTTCACGACTGAAAAATAAAAAGGGAAAAGAACAACACAATATGTTGTTACATATAGAAAAACATAACATAAGATGACCTCACAAATGTTGATTCAAAAAGAAGCAAACTGTTGTCAATGACTTTGGGGAAAAAACAGCTACTTTCAAGTCAAATCATCATAATATACTGCTAAGCTTCCCTTCGGTCATCAATGAGAACTGAAAAATACATAAATAATGAGGCACAATAAACACTTATATTGCAGAGTATGTGGAATTATGTTCTGATTAAACCCCCATCATCACCACCAAAATGCAGTACAGCTGCAATCTTGGAGGGAAAAGGTTTAGAAAGGAAAATAAATGTTATCAATCCTGTTATTATTTGCCATAATTTAAAGATATAATACAGTGTGGAAGAGGCACTAGTGTAATTTACCATACATATCTGCATTAGAGTTTTATAAAGTGTTAAGTTATGTGGATCAGCAGGAAGCAGAAGAGGACAGGAAGTCAAAAAGCAGCTTTCCTTCTGAAATGAGAACAGTGATCCACCTAGTTTATATCAGAAAGAAACTTGGGAAACATAATTCTGACGGAAAGGGTGAAAGCGTGTGAACTGAGGCTCTGAAATTTCTCTGCATGTTTGGGAGCCCTCATTTGGACTCCCAGATGCGCCTCCATGCCTGGCTCCAAGAAGGTACAACTTCCTCATCACGAAGTACTGAGCCACTGGAGGATAAGACCAGCAACTGGGATCCAAGTCTCTCCATAAATCCTCTGCGCAAAAGCTAAAAAGCAAACATAAAGGACAGCAAATAAAACTTCATGCCTTTTGCATTACTAGGAGACAGAAAGTAAATTCCAAATTCCAGCCGGGCTCCTACCGTTGCCACCAGCTAGCAGTGGATGTAGAGAATCGGGGAGTAGGGGCTTAAGTAACTCCGTTGGAAACACAAGCAGCAGTGAAAAAAATTACCCCCAGAAAGAGAAAGTGCAATACTTGTTGCCGAAATAGTAAACACAGGTCTAAAACTTGGTAGTTCCCAGCACCAGGTACAGAAAAGCAGCTTGGGGTGAGCAGAGTGGAGGTGGCAGGCTCCAAGATCTATTTCTTCTGAGAGAAAAGGAGTTAAATGGAAATATGTGTAGTGTACCACCAAAAATGAGAGTGAAGGGAAAGAAGTCAAAGAAAAAGGATTCCTCAGAAGCATACTTTAAAAGGAAAACCACACAAACACTGTACCAACAGAAGGGGGTGTGCTTGAACTAGGGACCCTGACATAAAGTATGTAGGCGTTCAAAAAAAAAAAAAGCAAAATTCCATCCAAAGACGCTTTAAGGAGAAAACAGTTCCTGTAAATCAAAACATGAGCTTATCAAAATTCTCTCCAAAACACCACCACAAAGCAGAAGAGAATTGTTAACACAATACTCTAATTTGAATGTCGAATCATCAAACAAGAATTTGGAGATATTTTTAAAAATAGAATCAGAAATTCAAAACTTAAAACCAGAGGCCGGGCGCAGTGGCTCACGCCTGTAATCCCAGCACTTTGGGAGGCCGAGGCGGGCGGATCACGAGGTCAGGAGATCAAGACCATTCTGGCTAACAAGGGGAAATCCCGTCTCTACTAAAAATACAAAAAATTAGCAGGGCGTGGTGGCGGGCGCCTGTAGTCCCAGCTACTCGGGAGGCTGAGGCAGGAGAATGGCGTGAACCCGGGAGGCGGAGCTTGCAGTGAGCCGAGAAGGTGCCACTGCGCTCCAGCCTGGGCGAGAGTGCGAGACTCCGTCTCAAAAAAAAAAAAAAAAAAAAGAAAGAAAACAAAATCACAGTCAATGAAATTCAAATAAATTCAAGAAGTATACTGAAAGAAAAAACAAAACCATCTCAGAAATAAGAAATAATTTAGTAATAACAAAGGGAGAATATATTCAAGTGAAAATCCAATAAGGAATTTATCATCAATCAACATAAGGTGGCTATGATGTGTAAGCTGGAATCAAACGAGGTCCTGCAAGGAATAAATACATTATAATTTCCGTTGAATGGATCATTTCAGTAGTACGTTGCCTTTCTTGTCTCTGTGGTCTATGTATATGGCTTTTGAATGTGGAGGCTTCAGAATCACCTGGGAGGCTTAAGCTGTGGATCACTGGATCCTATTCCAGAGAGTCTTACTCAGTAGGTCTAGGAAGGGACCCAATCATTTATAACACTGACAAGCATCTCAGGAAATTCTGAGACAGGTGATTCATAGACCACAGTTTTGGGAAATATTGGTCTATGAATTAGTTATTCAACTAATTGTGATTTTAGATAAATCCCAAACTGCTTATCTTCAAGGCATATTTTAATATAGTCTATTAATCTAAATGAGAAGGAGAAAATCATATTCATCTAATTAGGAAGATTGAGAAATTTAAGTGAATAAGAGGACATCCATGAAAATGGTTAGGTATCCTCAGGTTTAAGAAAAATCTATATGTGTAACTGATTGCAAAATTTAAATTAATGCATATTGACAAGTAATAATTTTAATGTAAATGCAGAAGGCAAATGGCTATTCAACTGAAAACTGTGGAAAATGTTATTTAAACCTTGGTCTGTAGACATGCGGATGTGAATATCAAGAACTAGTCAATCTGAAAAGTATTTAGCAGAGTTTTGGATAAAGGACATGAAGTACAATTATTTGACCTTTTAGACTATTACTTTTAATCAGTAGTTCTCAATAAGGGGCAATTTTGTGCCCCAGGGGATATTCCCAATGTCTGGAGACATTTTTGGTTATCAGGAATTGAGGAGGGATTTGTGCTCTGCTACTGATTCTAGTGAGTAGGGGCCCGGGATGACGCTAACTGGTCTAAAATTCACCGGACAGCTCCTCGCAGCAAATTGTGCAGCCCAAAACGTCAGTAGTGCCAAGGCTGAAAAACTCTGCTTTACAGGTTTAATTATTGTGTGTTTAAGCAATTCCGTCTAAAACATTAGAACTCTTTACTCATAGTCTTAATACAAAAATAGTTCTTAGTTTTAAAGGCAAAATTGCAATTATTCAACAATAAAGTCTTTCTGAATGAACTAAAATGTTAGATAAATTCAATGTTCCTTTATCACAGAGTTTTAGTTTTTTTCCCTCATTAGCACGGTATTATGTTGTGATACCAGTGCCAATTTATATGACAAAATGCTGTGCCTTTTTTTTCTATCAAACCAGAAGTTATTCATAAGTATGCTTTTATTATTATATTGGCTACATTCCTATCAAAGACACAAATATCAAATGATTTATTATGATGTGATAGCAGGAGACATAAAATATTTATGGCCCTCAATGTTTTCTCAATCTTATAGGCAATTAAAATATAAGAACCACATGAAAACATAAAATGTATAGAGAAGATGAAACCCATCTTGCCATCTTTCTCATTTACTTTATTTCCATTTCCTTTCCTTTTTTTAAATCTTGACTTAGAAATTTTGTTTCATTGTGAACATTTGAAAGCTTTCAAGATAATGACCTTCATTGAAACTTAGTTCTCGTTTTCAAGAGATTTTTTTCTCTTTTAGCAGGGAGCGCTTATCTGAGCTTTTTGATATGTGAATTTCATTATGGAATTGATAATTGTTTGATTGGATTTTATAGGGTAGCCACGATTTTAAGGGGGTCGTTTAAGTCAGCTTTACTCATTATCTTTAAAAGATATTCATGCAGACAATCTAACTCAACTCTTGTGAAGAATCTCGAAAAAGCATAGAAATAGCAGTCATGTGACTTAAGCCTTGGTCTGTCACTAACAAATGGTATATTAACCTTGGATATTAAACACTCTGAGCTTCAGCTTCCGCATGCAAAGGAGAGATTGCTGTGTTTAAAATGTAAACTTTAGAATGACACAGCCTGGGTTTTATTCTGGCTAAATCACTTACTAGGTGTTGACCTTGGGCGCTTTCACTGGGTAAGCCTCAGTGTCACCATCTACCAAGTGGATATAATAATGGCTCCTCCTCATTGGGTTAAATAATATAAATCTGTCGAGTGGTTAAGCTACAGTTAGCACTTAATAAAACTTATTTGTAATTATTATTAAAACATTTTCTGATTTTAAAATCCGATCATTCATCAATGGGTTAAAACATTAAATATCTACATAAAGACATGAGATATATTCATATCCAGGTACAAATAAATTGACTCAAGCCATTTGCAGTGATTAGGTGTAGTCTCTAATAACTGATTTGTGGAATTTTTTTGCCCTATTTTTAATCATTTGTTTTGAGAATAAAATACATCTGGAACGTATTATTATTTGCAGCCATAATATGTAGGAGGAATTGGATGTTTCTCTTATTGCATGTTTAATCATTTACTACACCCCTTTTGTGGAGATTATCTTTATAATTCTTATGTTAACCAATGTCTATTAAATTTATAGAGCCTAAAACTAAGGGGAAAGCATGTCATGTATGTTTAATAGTTAAAAATTTGTACATCAAAAATATGGTACAATTTTTGGAAAATAAAATACAGTTGTATTTAAAAGTCATGAGACACATTGGAACCCTTTGTGGCTGCGCCCAGTTACAACGGGGAAGCGGTAGAACCCGATAAAATCTAATTGTTGAATATGCAGTTTGGGGCTGGGGGGTTAGTGTGGAGGATCTTGGAAGGAAGATCCATAAACGTGATTATGGTATTGCAGAAAAGGCATTTGAGGAAAGCTTTTAAAAATTACTATGGAGATGGGAAGGTTGAGGGGTTATATATATGAATAAATAATTTACAGAGAATGTGACTATTCATAATATTTTTGAAACCAAAATAACAAATTGGCTTACATTACGATTGAAAAAATTATGATTAGATGCAATTTATTGTGGTAAGGCTATCACTTGCCAGTGCTAACCTCACTGTCTTAAGAGTGAGGAAGTTGGCCGGGCGTGGTGGCTCACGCCTGTAATCCCAGCACTTTGGGAGGCCAAGGTGGGTGGATCACGAGGTCAGGAGATCAAGACCATCCTGGCTAACAGGGTGAAACCCCGTCTCTACTAAAAATGCAAATAAATTAGATGGGCGTGGTGGCGGGTGCCTGTAGTCCCAGCTACTTGGGAGGCTGAGGTAGGAGAATGGCATGAACCTGGGAGGTGGAGCTTTCAGTGAGCCAAGATTGAGCTACTGCACTCCAGCCTGGGCAACAGAGCCAGACTCTGTCTCAAAAAAAAAAAAAAAAAAAAAAAGAGTGAGGAAGTTCACAGATAAAATTTTATCTTTGCACTCAAGAAATCTATCACCTAGTATGATGGAAACATGCACATGTAGCCCACAAACACTATCTATGATATGTATGTTAGTACATGAAAGCTTGAGATCATTCTCATTTCAATAACATCAAATATCTATTGCAAACTTACTGTGTGCCCCACACTCCGTTAACTCTTTATACAATTATCTCTTTTAATCCTCATGATCATCCTTTGAGGAAGATACTATTGTTGTCCCTATTTAACAGATGGTAAAACTAATGATCCAACCAACTAAGAAACTTGGCCAAGACTGCAGCTCCAGTAAGGAATGGGTGTTCAGTCCGGGTTCCTGAATCTTCAAAGCTCTTAACCATTGCACATGCAGAGAACAAGATGTTATGGATTCACCTGGTAGAATGTGATGAATTCTGATTATGAAAGATTTCATGGCCACAATATGCTTTAATGTGTGCCTTTAAATATGTGAAGAATTTCTACAGAAATAGAAAGAGAGGAATTCCAGGATGAGAAAAAGACATGAGCAAGCCTAGATTAGATATGGAAGGTATGTTGAGTCATCTTGTACAAATGGAGGGTATAAGGACAGCAGGAAGAGATGTTAGTTCAAATGTAATAGGTGATGCACTGGAAATGTAATATTCAATTATGTTATGCTACATGTACTTTGGACTGTATCCTCTAGACCAGTGGCTGCCAAGGGTTGAAGAAAAAAAGCAAGCTTGGTAAAGGTGTAGCCTAGGTACACAAGAGGCCTCCAAGCGAGATTCACTGTTATAGGGGGTCAATGTCAATGATGGGAATGTATCAATCTCTCATTTGGATTGACTGAAACAATTCTGTCTTGTCCTCAGAGATGCCCGGCAGACAAACTGCATCTCTGCCTGTCTTTGATTAGGAACCAACTCGTCTCTGTTCCCAAGAGTTATTTAGTATAATGCTTCTAAAACTTCAGTGTACACACAAATCAACCGGCTGTGTTTTTTAAATGCAGATTCTGGTTAAGTAGTTTGAGATTCTGCGTTTCTATCTAACAAGTTCCCAGTGATGCAGACGCTGCCAGTCCCGCAGACCACATTTTGCGAAGCAAGGCTTTGGTGTACAGCAGAAAGAATTGCTTACCAAGCTCTTCTCTTAAATTCTAAAGATGCTACACTCACCTTCGTCAAAACCTGCTCCTGTGCAAAACATCTGGGCTGGCTAACGTTCTGAAACAATTTCTCTGTGTTCTTTAAGGAAAGAAAACCTAGCCAAGCATCTAGGTGCTGAGATTTTTTTTAAAGATCAGATTAATTATGTAAATAGCACAACACGTACTGTATAACAGGTATTATGCAAAGAAAATTTATGATATGACTGTACTAAATAATAATTTTGGCCAGGTGTGGTGGCTCACGCCTGTAATCCCAGCAGTTTGGGAGGCCAAAGCAGGTGAATCATGAGGTCAGGAGTTCAAGACCAGCTTGGCCAACATGGTGAAACACCGTCTCTACTAAAAATACAAAAATTAGCTGGGTGTGGTGGCATGCGCCTGTAATCCCAGCTACTTGGGAGGCTGAGGCGGGAGAATTGCTTGAACCCGGGAGATGGAGGTTGCAGTGAGCTGAGATCAGGCCACTGCACTCCAGCCTGGGTCACAGAGTGAGACTCCTTCTCAAAAAAAAAATGATAATAATAATAATTTAAAAAATAGAAATCATTTTTAAACTATATGAGCTATTAGGAAAAATTAAGTGATAGCACTGTAGCTCCTTTCCTAAATATGCAAGGATACTGACTGAGCTAATACTTTGATTTTAAAAAAATGTTAATGTGTTGTAACAACTAAAATGCAGAAGCAACTTCAAGTAGTTCAACTTCATCAAGGAATACAGGACTTTTATCACTATAATCCCTGGTTTTGTCAGCCAAAGTAAAAATATACTCAGCCCTGAGTTTTAGGAGAGCAAAGCACTTCTCAGGTACTAAGGTTAGACAGTATCTTCAAGAATATATTTGAACAACCAAATGAAATCACGTCATCATCAGCTGGTATACTACAGACCTTGGTTGTTTTTCAAGATGGGCATATTTTGAATTTCATATGTTATCTGAATTTTCACCTTATTATATAGGTAATACAGTGGAAAATATCATGAGGTCACCTAGAACTACACTTAATCTGGCAGAGAATGCCCTGCAATTTTTCTTACAACTTTCAGATAAGGGGATTTGTCAACTTTCCCTGCTAACACAGTTCATTCTCTCAAAAACATTTAGAGACATAGGGCACCCCCCCAAAAAATATAAACACCTCCACTTTACTCTTAAGTCTCTGAGTTCATTTCCCTTGTTTGGCTCTCATCTGACACAGAAAACATCTGCTCACCAGCACCCACATGATTTCCTGTAACTGATTATTGCTGCGAACCACTCATCCAGATTTTTCTTCTTCAGGTTAAGTCTCAGCTCCTCAGCCTTCCCTCAAAAACTCCGTCACCCAGGGAGTTTTTCCTTTTTTGCTTCAGTATCAGATAGACTCAAAATTACCTCTTTCTCTTTACTTTGTAGAGACCAAAATCAGTCATGGAACTCTTGAGATACGGTCAATAGCAGCACGAAAGTTGTTGCTTTGTGGAATATGCTCCCATTTCTACATTGCAGAATCCGATCAGTATTTGCTACGGTTGATGTCAGGGAGTTCAGCTACCATTTAGGACAGGCCTATCTGTGTATCATTTATGAAACTGAGAGTTGAAATGCACCTTAAAGACTATCTGCTCCAAACTTATGCTGTAAATGCTCTATGCGAAGCCCCAGAAATTTAAGCTGCTTCGTGTTTTGGTCACAAGATTTTAGAATATTGAGATGAAAACTCCTATCTCTTAACTTTGAATTGCTGGTCTCTCCACACCACCAGTACTGAATTAGTGATTCCTACTTCACTGTGACCCTGAAACAAATGCTTCTACACATCAGTAGGGTGAGGTCTGTTGTGTTTAAAATTTGTGTGTGTGTTTTCTAGCAGATTTTATTTTTATTCTATTAGGTTGTGTTTATAACTGCCTACCTCTTTAAATTTTCAGAGTACTTTGAATAACCATGACACTAAATGACAAATATAATGTCCAATTTTAAGGGGCCTTTGGCATGTATCCTGTCCAACTCTGAGAGTGAATGCCCTCTGCAGTATTCCCCGTGAAGAAATAGACATTGAGCCTCTTTTTCAAAATTAAACCCAAATCTGCCTCCACTTAGCTATAACTTGTTAATTTGATTATCAGAGGACCTCTGGTGGCTGTGTTTTTTTTTTTTTTTTTTTTTTTTTATTATACTCTAAGTTTTAGGGTACATGTGCACATTGTGCAGGTTAGTTACATATGTATACATGTGCCATGCTGGTGTGCTGCACCCACTAATGTGTCATCTAGCATTAGGTATATCTCCCAATGCTATCCCTCCCCCCTCCCCCGACCCCACCACAGTCCCCAGAGTGTGATATTCCCCTTCCTGTGTCCATGTGATCTCATTGTTCAATTCCCACCTATGAGTGAGAATATGCGGTGTTTGGTTTTTTGTTCTTGCGATAGTTTACTGAGAATGATGGTTTCCAATTTCATCCATGTCCCTACAAAGGATATGAACTCATCATTTTTTATGGCTGCATAGTATTCCATGGTGTATATGTGCCACATTTTCTTAATCCAGTCTATCATTGTTGGACATTTGGGTTGGTTCCAAGTCTTTGCTATTGTGAATAGTGCCGCAATAAACATACGTGTGCATGTGTCTTTATAGCAGCATGATTTATAGTCATTTGGGTATATACCCAGTAATGGGATGGCTGGGTCAAATGGTATTTCTAGTTCTAGATCCCTGAGGAATCGCCACACTGACTTCCACAATGGTTGAACTAGTTTACAGTCCCACCAACAGTGTAAAAGTGTTCCTATTTCTCCGCATCCTCTCCAGCACCTGTTGTTTCCTGACTTTTTAATGATTGCCATTCTAACTGGTGTGAGATGATATCTCATAGTGGTTTTGATTTGCATTTCTCTGATGGCCAGTGATGATGAGCATTTCTTCATGTGTTTTTTGGCTGCATAAATGTCTTCTTTTGAGAAGTGTCTGTTCATGTCCTTCGCCCACTTTTTGATGGGGTTGTTTGTTTTTTTCTTGTAAATTTGTTTGAGTTCATTGTAGATTCTGGATATTAGCCCTTTGTCAGATGAGTAGGTTGCGAAAATTTTCTCCCATGTTGTAGGTTGCCTGTTCACTCTGATGGTAGTTTCTTTTGCTGTGCAGAGGTGGCTGTGTTTGTAGGCATCTACTGTGTGCTAAAAATCTGCAAGTCCTTCAGCTGAGTCATAATCCCTTTATCAGTTCATCCTTCCTCTGGACTAAATATTGTCAACTGCAGAAAGAGGCCGGGGCAGAGTCCTGACTCCCCCCATACAGGGCCGTGACTCTCCTTTCTCTTGACACTACACTCCCATCAGGCACAACATTCTGACTATACCAAGTATGATATCAGCTCACTCCTCTGGTCTCTTCTCCACAAGAGTCCTTATTAAATTCTTTTTAGTAAGAATTTTCCCTGCCTTAATAGACACAGTTGTTATTTCTGTGTTTGATTTCAATTGCTTTGGAGATGGTGGTTCTAGGTTTCGTTTGGGGCTGAGTTTCTTGTATCTACGCAGAGGATTATGTATATATATGCCCATTGGAATTCATTTTATTGGTTACAGTGCAAAATCTCGTCTGGTTGATATCTTTTTGGATTGTTGGTTCCTGAATTAGTCACGTGATGAATTAATTGCCTCATTTGACTTAGTAATATTGGGAAATTTAATAAGTGTACCAATTATGTTTTCTACTAAGTTATTAAATTATCAAACAGGAAGAAGTAAAGACACAGTCTGACAATAAGCTGTGGATTCTTCTCCATAAGCAGATGCTGAACCACCAATAAATCCTGGTTTAGAATGTCTTCATTTGGACGCTTACAAAATTCACCCTCATCATTTTGTCACCCAGCCTACATTTCCTCCATGTTGTCACCAGCATTATTTATTTAGGTATTATTTTTATTGATGCATAATATTTGTACATATTTATGGGGGTACATGTAATATTTTGTTATATGCATAGGATTTGTCATTATCAAATTAGAGTACTTAGGATATCAATCACTCGTGTATTTATCATTTTTACGTGTTGGGAGTATTTTAAGTCCTCTCTACTGACTATGTTGAAATACAAAATACTTTGTTGTTAACTATAGTTACTTACTCTGCTATTGAACATTACATCTTAGTCCCTCTTTCTGACTGTATGTTTGTGTACCCATTAACCAACCTCTCTTATCCACCTCCCCAACACACCTTTTTCCACTTCTGATATCTATCATTCAACTTTCTGCTTCCATGAGATCAATCCTTTTAGGTCCTTCATATCAGTGAGAACAGGCAATGTTTCTGTTTCTGGTTCTGGCCTATTTCATTTAACATTATAACCTCTAATTCCATCCACGTCGCTGTAAATGACAAGATTTCCTTCTGTTTTATGGCTGAATAGTATTTTACTATGTATATACACAAATTTTCTTTATTCATCCGTTGATGGACACTTAGGTTGATTCCATATCTTTTCTATTGTGAATAGTTCTGCAATAAATACAGAGATCCCAGAATCCCTTCGAAATACTGATTTCCTTTGCTTTAGATAAATACCTAGCAGTGTGATTGCTGAGTCATGTGGTAGTTCTATTTTTGGATTTTTGAGAATCTCCATACGGTTTTCCATAATGGCTGTACTCATTTACATTCCCACCAACAGTGTATAACAGTTCCCTTTTCTCTGCATCCATCCTTGCCAGCATCTGTTATTTTTGTCTTTTTGATAATAGATATTCTTACTGCATTAAAATGATATCTCATTGTGGTTTTGATTTGCATTTCTCTGATGATTAATGATATCAAGCATTTTTTCATGTACCTGTTGGTCATTTTTATATCTTCCTTTGAGAAATGTCTATTCAAGTCCCTTGCCCACTTTTTAATGAGATTATTTGTTTTGTTTTGTTTTCTTTCTGCTGTTGAGTTTTTTTGTGCAGCCTGGATATATTAATCCCTTTTTGGATGAATAGTTTGTGAATATTTTGTCCCATTCAACAGGTTGCCTCTTTACTCTGTTGATTATTTCCTTTGCTGTGCAGAAGTCTTTTAATTTAATTAAGTTCCATTTGCCTATTTTTGGTTTTTTTTGTCTATGCTTTTGAAGTCTTAGCCGTAAAATCTTTGCCTAGGCCGATATCCAGGAGTGTTTACCTATGCTTCCTTCTAGTAGTTTTATAGTTTTGGGTCTTATGTTTAAGTCTTTAATCCATCTTAAGTTAATTTTTGTATATGGTGAGATTTAAGTATCTATTTTCATTCTTCTGCATATGGATATCCAGTTTTCCTAGCATTATTAAACAAGGTGTCATTTCCCCATGTATGCCGACAATGAGTTGGCTAGAAGTATGTGGGTTTATCTCTGGATTCTCTATTCTGTTCCATTGGTCTATGTGTCTGTTTTTATACCAATACCATGCTGTTTTGGTTACTATAGCATTATAACAAATTTTGAAGTCAGATAGCGTGATGCCTCCAGCTTCATTCTTTTTGCTCAGGATTACTTTGGCTGTTCAGCTCTTTTTTTGTTCCATACAAATTTTAGGATTTTTTTTCTATTTCTGTGAAAAATGTCGTTTGTATTTGATGGAGATTGCATTGAGTCTCTAGATTGCTTTGGGTAGTATGGTCACTCTAACAATGCTAATTCTTCTGATCCATGAACGTGGGATGACTTTCCATTTGTTCCTGCTATTGTCAACAAGATTATTTTGCAAGGTTTTGTCAGCTCTCTTGATTTTAAAAATGGATTAGTTTATACTCTTAGTAGGTCAATGATTATTTGGGGTGAACATATGCTGATTCCTATTGCTAATGTATTCAACTTCTTAAAAATTGCTGACTATACTTGAATATCACATAGAAATTTTTAAATATGTCACACTTATGTCTATAATATGTGAAACCCTCCTTCTTCCCACTTTTGAAATTCACGACAGTTGCCCCATTCCACCTTACCCAAGTTCTGTCTGATTACACCACAGTTCCTCAAAGATTAGTTGTAGCTGAGACAGAATCTCATTGGCAAATTATTGTCACACTCTAAAATACAGCTAGTTTGAGACAGGAGACTTAGCTTATAATTAAATACAGTTAAATTTGCTTTTACCTACCCGTTACTTATGCTGTAACTCAGCTCTTCCTAGAGCAATCCATGTCTGCACAGGATTCATACCAGAGGGAGAGAAAAAAAATTTTGCTCAACAATGTATACCAAACTTTCATATGCCAGGCACTATTCTGATAATTGAATTTTATTTTTTTATTTTAATTAATAAGAAACCCATGAAAAAATACATCCTTACAATTTATATCCCTGATGTAACATAGCTAAAAATCATAGTACCTCCGCAGCAAAAAAAGGATGGCCTTTTATCTGTGTTCTTCACAACTCCTACTTAAAAATATTTTCTTATTCTTAGTTTATATCAAGATTCACTAATGCATAGGCACTTGTATTAGTATTAGTATTTTTATTGTAAGAAATGTACAATGTTGGTAACTTTATTGTAAGAATTCAATTTATAGAAGCATCCGCTTCTTTGATCTATATAAACTTTCAGAGATGAAGAACGGGAAAACTTACCAGCCTTTTATCTAATTAAAAATGAAAAGGTTTTCTGGTGTTTAGGCCATGCAGCAGATCCCGCCGTGTTTCCCTGGCATGACTCAGTGTCTTTATGATGGGATGGCCACTTTCTCCTAATGTTTCATTGCTCCCACTTTATTAGTCAGTTTTGCCTTGATTGAGAAATAAATCCTTTCTTCCCCTGCTCAGACATTCTTAGCAAGGGAAGGAAAGCATAGTCAGAATCTTTGCTTTGAGCTGGATTCTCACTAAAAAGAAATATCTAAAAGAAATGCAGTTCATGTCAGCAGCATCCATTTCTCTGAATAGAAGTACCTTTGCTGCTGGAACCTTTTCTTGTTTGTCCAAGAGTTCCTTACTGGAATTTCGCCCTCAGGTTGATGAATGTCCTTATTGGGTGTATCGGTTCAAATAGAGATGAGGAACTACTGTGAATATTATGAAATGAGGATTTATAATAGGAATTAGGTCTTATATCATTGCAGAAGAAGCAGAAGGAATAAGAGTCTGAAAGGAGGAGTTGGAGGATTTGAAAAAAGTCATTAACCAGCACTCCTGAAGTGAGGCATATCCAGCTACTGGAGTGAGTCTACAAAGGAGAGTAGTGAACAGGTCTGTGGAGGCCTTGTTTATGTACCTGGTGATGGGCCATCTGGGGAGAGGAAGGACACGCTTGATCTACCAGCACCTTGGCATCTGTTTTCACTGCCTCTAGCCATGATGTCCTTTAGTGGGTAAAGGCTACTGCTCCATTTTCATCTTCCAAAGCTTTCTTTCTTCTTTCTTTTACTTTAAGTTATTTATTTATTTATTTATTTATTTATTTATTTTTCCTTTTGCTACGTGGGCCAAGAATAAACCCAGACATCTTCCAAATCTTGATCAATGTTTCCTGTTAGCCAGTTCTAAACAAGAACTACATAAGGAGGGGAATTCTGGGAAACATAGTTTCATTTTCCAACCTAACCAAGCTGACACAGTCCAAAACCACCCTGGGATGTATCTTCTAAATAAAAAGTTCTATCCTTTCTTTTCTATCAATTCTGGTTCTTAGCATATATTTTCAATTTTATATTATAATTTTTGATTTTATTATACATTTAAATCTTCAATACTTATTTATATAATTTGGTAAACCATGAGAGGAAGAGTTCTGCCTGTCTAACTTAAAATATATTCTTTTTTTATTATAGTTTAAGTTCTAGGGTACATGTACACAATGTGCAGGTTTGTTACATATGTATACGTGTGCCATGTTGGTGTGCTGCACCCATTAACTCGTCATTTACATTAGGTATATCTCCTAATGCTATTCCTTCCCACTCCCCGCACCCCACGACAGGCCCCAGTGTGTGATGTTCCCCTTCCTGTGTCCAAGTGTTCTCATTGTTCAATTCCCACCTATGAGTGAGAACATGCAGTGTTTGGTTTCTTGTCCTTGCAACAGTTTGCTGAGAATGATGATTTCCAGCTTCATCCATGTCCCTACAAAGGACATGAACTCATCCTTTTTATGGCTGCATAGTATTCCATGGTGTATATGTGCCACATTTTCTTAATCCAGTCTATCATTGATGGACATTTGGGTTGGTTCCAAGTCTTTGCTATTGGGAATAGTGCTGCAATGAACATACATTTGCATGTGTCTTTATAGCAGCATGATTTATAATCCTTTGGGTATATCCCCAGTAATGGGATGGCTGGGTCAAATGGTATTTCTAGTTCTAGATCCTTGAGAAATTGTCACACTGTCTTCCACAATGGTTGAACTAGTTTACAGTCCCACCAACAGTGTAAAAGTGTTCCTATTTCTCCACATCCTCTCCAGCACCTGTTGTTTCCTGACTTTTTAATGATTGCCATTCTAACTGGTGTGAGATGGTATCTCATTGTGGTTTTGATTTGCATTTCTCTGATGGCCAGTGATGATGAGCATTTTTTCATGTGTCTCTTGGCTGCATAAATGTCTTCTTTTAGAAGTGTCTGTTAATATCCTTCACCCACTTTTTGATGGGGTTGTTTGTTTTTTTCTTGTAAATTTGTTTGAGTTATTTGTAGATTCTGGATATTAGCACTTTGTCAGATGAGTAGATCGCAAAAATTTTCTCCCATTCTGTAGGTTGCCTGTTCGCTCTGATGGTAGTTTCTTTTGCTGTGCAGAAGTTCTTTAGTTTAATTAGATCCCATTTGTCAATTTTGGCTTTTGTTGCTGTTGCTTTTGCTGTTTTAGACATGAAGTCCTTGCACATGCCTATGTCCTGAATGGTATTGCTTAGGTTTTCTTCTAGGGTTTTTTAGGTCTAACATTTAAGTCTTTTTGAATTAATTTCTGTATAAGGTGTAAGGAAGGGATCCAGTTGCAGCTTTCTCCATATGGCTAGCCAGTTTTCCCAGCACCATTTATTAAATAGGGAATCCTTTCCCCATTGCTTGTTTTTCTCAGGTTTGTCAAAGATCAGATGGTCATAGGTGTGTGGTATTATTTCTGAGGGCTCTGTTCTGTTCCATTGGTCTATATCTCTGTTTTGGTACCAGTACCATGCTGTTTTGGTTACTGTAGCCTTGTAGTGTAGTTTGAAGTCAGGTAGCATGATGCCTCCAGCTTTGTACTTTTGGCTTAGGATTGACTTGGCAATGCGGGCTCTTTTTTGGTTCCATATGAACTTTAAAGTAGTTTTTTCCAATTCCGTAAAGAAAGTCATTGGTAGCTTAATGAGGATGGCATTGAATCTATAAATTACCTTGGGCAGTATGGCCATTTTCACAACATTGATTCTTCCTATCCGTGAGCATGGAATGTTCTTCCATTTGTTTGTGTCCTCTTTCATTTCGTTGAGCAGTGGTTTGTAGTTCTCCTTGAAGAGTTCCTTCACATCCCTTGTAAGTTGGATTCCTAGGTGTTTTATTCTCTTTGAAACAATTGTGAATGGGAATTCACTCATTATTTGGCTCTCTGTCTGTTATTGGTGTATAAGAATGCTTGTGATTTTGGCACATTGATTATGTATCCTGAGACTTTGCTGAAGTTGCTTATCAGCTTAAAGAGATTTGGGGCTGAGATGATGGGGTTTTCTAAATATACAGTCATGTCATCTGCAAACAGGGACAATTTGACTTCCTCTTTTCCTAATTGAGTACCCTTTATTTCTTTCTCGTGTCTGATTGCCCTGGCCAGAACTTCCAACGCTATGTTGAATAGGAGTGGTGAGAGAGGGCATCCCTGTCTTGTGCCAGTTTTCAAAGGGACTGCTTCCAGTTTTTGCCTATTCTGTATGACATTGGCTGTGGCTTTGTCATAGATAGCTCTTATTATTTTGAGATACATCCCATCAATACCTAATTTATTGAGAATTTTTAGCATGAAGGGCTGTTGAATTTTGTCTAAGGCCTTTTCTGCGTCTATTGAGATAACCATGTGGTTTTTGTCTTTGGTTCTGTTTATATGCTGGATTACATTTACTGATTTGCGTATATTGAACCAGCCTTGCATCCTAGGGATGAAGCCCACTTGATCATGGTGGATAAGCTTTTTGATGTGCTGCTGGATTCGGTTTGCCAGTATTTTATTGAGGATTTTTGCATCGATGTTCATCAGGGATATTGGTCTAAAATTCTTTTTTTTTTGTTGTATCTCTGCCAGGCTTTGGTATCAGGATGATGCTGGCCTCATAAAATGAGTTAGGGAGGATTCCCTCTTTTTCTATTGATTGGAATAGTTTCAGAAGGAATGGTAGCAGTTCCTCCTCGTACCTCTGGTAGAATTTGGCTGTGAATCCGTCTGGCCCTGGACTTTTTTTGGTTGGTAGGCTATTAACGATTGCCTCCATTTCAGAGCCTGTTATTGGTCTATTCAGGGATTCAACTTCTTCCTGGTTTAGTCTTGGGAGGGTGTATGTGTCCAGGAATTTATCCATTTCTTCTAGATTTTCTAGTTTATTTGCATAGAGTTGTTTATCGTATTCTCTGATGGTAGTTCGTATTTCTGTGGGATCGGTGGTGATATCCCCTTTATCATTTTTATTGTGTTTATTTGATTCTTCTCTCTTTTCTTCTTTATCAGTCTTGCTAGCAGTCTATCAATTGTGTTGATCTTTTCAAAAAACCAGCTCCTGGATACATTGATTTTTTTGAAGGTTTTTTTGTGTCTGTATCTCCTTCAGTTCTTCTCTGATCTTAGTTATTTCTTGCCTTCTGCTAGCTTTTGAATGTGTTTGCTCTTGCTTCTCTAGTTCTTTTAATTGTGACTTTAGGGTGTCAATTTTAGATCTTTCCTGCTTTTTCTTGCGGGTGTTTAGTGCTATAAATTTCCCTCAACACACTGCTTTAAATGTGTCTCAGAGATTCTGGTGTGTTGTGTCTTTGTTCTCATTGGTTTCAAAGAACATCTTTATTTCTGCCTTCATTTCTTTATGTACCCAGTAGTCATTCAGGAGCAGGTTGTTCAGTTTCCATGTAGTTGAGCGGTTTTGAGTGAGTTTCTTAATCCTGAGTTCTAGTTTGATTGCACTGTGGTCTGAGAGACAGTTTGTCATAATTTCTGTTCTTTTACATTTGCTGAGGAGTGCTTTACTTCCACCTATGTGGTCAATTTTGGAATAAGTGCGATGTGGTGCTGAGAAGAATGTATATTCTGTTGATTTGGGGTGGAGAGTTCTGTAGATGTCTATTAGGTCTGCTTGGTGCAGAGCTGAATTCAATTCCTGGATATCCTTGTTAAGTTTCTGTCTCGTTGATCTGTCTAATGTTGACAGTGGGGTGTTAAAGTCTCCCATTATTATTGTGTGGGAGTCTAAGTCTCTTTGTAGGTCTCTGAGGACTTGCTTTATGAATCTGGGTGCTCCTGTATTGGGTGTATATATATTCTTAACCCTAGGCCAGGTGCCTGTCTCTATCTTTCTCCTCTGACTGCTTTGTTTTCTTCTGTACTCTGCCAATTCTGGTGACAATACCTCACCATTCTATTTGCTTTGTGTATGTAAAATTCATTGTCAAATCTGCTTGAAAAATTTCTCCCCAAATGTTCACATTATTTTTTCTTTTCAAGGCTATTAGCACATAGCTCCTCTTCTAGATGTGTTTCAGAATCATTTTCTCTTTATTCCCATCCTAAAAGTTCCATGAAAATTTTATCAGAATTGCATTTAATTTTTATATTAATTGGAAAGAAATATTGAATTTTCTGAACCAAAAATATGTAGCTTTATCTTGCCTGTTTTGTTGTTGTTTGGTTTGGTTTGGAATTTTTTAGAGACAGGGCCTCCCTCTGTTGTCCAGGCGAGAGTGCAGTGGCACAGTCATAGCTCACTGCTACAGCCTTGACCTCCTGAGCTCAAGTGATGCCCCTCAAGCCTAAGCCTCCAGAGTCGCTAGGATTATAAGTGCGCACCACTATTCTCAGCTAAATTTTTTACTTTTTGAAGAGACGCAGGTCTCACTATGTTGCCCAGGCAGGTCTTGAACTCCTGGCTTCAAGCAGTCCTCCAGCCTTGGCCTCCCAAAGCCACATGACTCTTTAAGTGTAAACTTGTAGCATTTTCTGAAGGGTGATTTTACGTACTATGTTTCAACATTTGCACTTCAAATTTACTTTTCTTATTCTATTGCTCTGGCTAGGACATCCAAAACAACAAAGAAAAATAGCTGCAATAATGACATTCTTGTCTTATTCTTTACTCTAAATGGAAACGAGTCATCTGTTTTTTTTTTTAACCGCTAAGTGAATTGTTTTCTGACACATGCCCTTTGTTATTTAAGCAATATTTCTTCTTTATGTTTGTCGAATTTTTGTTTTTATTTGAATCACATATGAGTGACAAGTTCTACCAAAGAGTTTTTCAGTATCTATGAAAATGAACATGTGATTTTATCTCTACTCTCCTCGATATGCTATATTAATAAAATATCTTAATTTACATTGTCTGTATTCCTACAATAAAACATACTTAATAATAATTTTTAAAAATATATTATTGGATTTAATTTCCTAGAATTTTATTTATAGTTTCTCCATTTTATATTCACAAGTGAGACTGGTGAATAGTTTTCAGGTTTGATTTTCTCTCTGTTGTGTTTTTATTTATAGTTATTCTAGCCTTTCCAACTGTGTTTTGTCCTTTCAAATTATTCTCCCCTGTGAATTCCCAAGCATCAAATTCATTTGAATTTTTAATCTCTCAAAAAAAGTGTTTTCACGGGAGAATTTCCTTTTTCTCATTTCAGATAAACGCTTTCTGCCCATTTCTCATGAGGACTATATTATTTCAAACCAAGGGACAGTCATCCCAATGTGATAATTCATGATTCAGAAAATATATATACTCTCTACCCTATTGCCCCCTCACCATTTTTAAGTTTATTCAACGAACACTTACTGTTGAGTGTAAAGGGAGTAACATAATGGGACCTAAGGAGTGAGAGATAAGTTATTTTAAGACAGACTTAAAATCTATCACCTGGCTTTTAGAAACGTAAAATGTGGCTGGAGAAATGACATACACTTCTGAAATGATTTAAGAAAAATACAACTAAGAGTATTCCTAACTCTTCATGACAAAGCATAAAATGAGTATGGGAATGCAGGAAGGGTGTGCCTAAGTGCTGAGTGACAAGAGCTAAGAGGATTTAGAAAAGGCTTAAGGGGAGAGTGAGTTCTGAGCTGAATAGTGAATGAAGGCACATGTGTGAAGTTGGAGCAGTGAGATGATACTTTGAATGGTAGGCGACCAGGCAGGAGAACAAGAATAAGTAGATGCATAGATAGATGATAACATACAGATTTGTTTATCTGAGGCTACAGGAGGCATCTTAGAAAGCTTAATAAATGAAATCAGAAAGGGTGGAATGGTAATCCTGTGTTCAGGCCTGTGGTCGGAGCGAAGCCCTGCCTGCCCCAGAAAGCCACAGCTACTTTCAGACTGTCTCCTTGTGCTCTTCTGAGCTTGCCTCCCATTGGCTCAGGACCCAAAAGAGGCAAGCCAACTGTGACATCCCTAAAAAGTGTGGTTCAGATTTGGCCTTGAATTGACGCGTATTACCATAATTAATATGTATGCGCATATACACATTAAGTATCCCTATTCCGAAAATCCAAAATCCAAAATGCTTCAAAATCTGAAACTTTCTGAGCACCAATATAAAGCTTAAAGGAAGTGGTCACTGGAGCATTTCAAATTCCTAATTTTCAGATTTGAGATGCTTAGCTAGTGAGTATAATGCAAATATTCCAAAATCTGCCTCCCCCCAACCCCCGCCACTGAAAAATGAAATCCGACACACCTGTAGTTCCCAAGTATTTCAGATAAGGGATACTCATCCTGTATCTTTCTCTTTTTCTGTCTTGTCACACACACATACACACACACACACACACACACAAACACACACACTTTTTGTTTCTAAGTAAAGCGGAATAGTCTCACAGTGTCTTAATGTGGGAGTGGAGCAACAATTTGCCTTAACAAGCGTGACTTAAATATCACCGCATATAAATGAAACAATGCCTGAATATAAGCTAATGCCATGAAAGATATGAAGTGACGCTGGGCTGTAAGGAAAACATTATATCTGATCTTATCACATCATTTCTGTGATTCCATACGCAAGCCAAACCATCAGAAGCATAAGGAGGAAAATGCTACACCAGTTGAATTCTCAGAAAAATCCCGTCTAAGAGAAAAAACAATCTGATAGTAATTATTAACTTTGGGACTTACAGACTTCAAACAGTTACCTACGCAAATGTGACACTCTTTGTACCGTTATGTGGTACCAAAAAGGCATTGTCCTGTAAAGGCCGAAGGAAAACATCTCCTTCACCCTCTGAAGGTTCACTGAAAATCTAGCAAAAGGCAGATTCATAGGAGATAAGACACACAAAATGTATTCATGCACACACATGTGCACGGGAGTCATACAAAATATGAGCTCAGAGGGGGGCCAGATGGTTGATACGTAAATACTCTCTTCATAGTGGAGAAATGGGTGGACCCACGAGGTGGGAGGTGGACACTAAAGAAGGTGAGGGATGAGGGTTGAGGGGTGAGGGGTGGAGCCGCACAGAAACCAAGATGCAGATGAAGTCCCCCAGGCAATCTCTTGGAGTTGCCCTCAGAAGAACAGAGGCAAAGTCTGTGTGGGCGAGGTGAGGACTGCCAGTCTGTTCTCTGGTGGTTGATCTTTCCTGGTTATTTGATGAGATCTCTAGGGAACTAGGGAGAGTGTTTAAGACAATCACTTTTTTTTTTTTTTTCCTGGAAAGTAGCTTTCATGATCAGATAGGAAAATTCCATAGGGAGTCGCTCCCAGCACTTGGTGGGGGACAAGGCAATGGTCAGGGATCTTGATCCTGAAGAAGGTTCTGCGGCCTCTCAGCATGTCAAAGTGTCAGTGTTTGGGGGTAGAGCTTGCTGAGCCCCAACAGAACCTTGTGACAACCGTAAGACATAACAAAAGCACACGGGGATAACTCTCCTTTCATCTGACCAGAAAGGGCTCTCTAGGTATTAAGGAATGTTGGAACAAGTAAGAATGATCTTTGCCCTGTGGCACTCTCTCATGTCCCCTTTGTAAACTAAAAATAAAACCCTAAGCACCTCACTGCCTGGCAGATGCCTTCTTCATCAAGGTTTTAAGAAAAACCTTAATAACTGAATTCCCAGCCATGACTGGAAAGGAGGCCGGACACGCCTTGTTCCACCCCCTCTGGTTTGAATTTTCGGCACAATAAGACGAGCATCAATCTTAAAATAGAGATCATAAGACTGACAGAACAGACTCTTTGTGGCAATTAAGATACCAAATGATAAACAAGACCTAAGGCCATGCCAGGCAAGGGCTGAGTTTCACCTGCAGGCCATCATCATCTTGCTACATCCATCTTTTTTTTTTTTTTTTGAGACGGAGTCTCACTCTGTCGCCCAGGCTGGAGGGCAATGGCGCCATCTCAGCTTACTGCAACCTCCACCTCCTTGGTTCAAGCAATTCCCCTGCTCAGCCTACTGAGTAGCTGGAATTACAGGTGCACGCCACCACGCCCAGCTAATTTTTTCATATTTTTAGTAGAGATGAGGTTTCACCATGTTGGCCAGACTGGTCTCAAACTCCTGACCTCAAGTGATCTGCCCACCTCTGCCTCCCAAAGTGCTGAGATTACAAGCGTGAGCCACTGCACCTGGCCCATCCATCCTTAACATTCCTTTCTGCTGATTCCAAATTTTAGACCGAGCCTCACTATTTTAACCAATTGCAAATTAAAGACTCTCTGAATCCACCTATTACCTATAAACCCTGTTTCAAGATGTCCTGCCTTTTTGGGCCGAACCAACGTATACCTTCCATGTGTTGATTTGTCTTTGCTTGTAACTCCTGCCTTCTTAAAATGTGTAAAACCTAGCCAAGCGTGGTAGTGGGCAACTGTAGTCCGCACAACTCAGGAGACTGAGGCGGAACTTGAGCCCCGGAGGTCAAGGCTGCAGTAAGCTGAGATTGCACCACTATACTCCACAGAGTGAGACCTTGTGTCAAAAATCATAATAATATACAAAGCCAAACTGTAATCCAGCCACTTCGAGATCACTTACCCACGGCTTCTTGGGTTTGTGTTTTTTCTGGGCCATGGTCACTCATCATATTGGTTCAGAATAAACCTCTGTAAAATATTTTATGGAGTTTGGTTTCACTGTTAACACCCTTAAATTAAAGAAAGCACTAACTGGGGAGCTGCTTAGATCTAAATCTGAATCTTTATCACCCTCTGATGATGATTATCATCATCCCTTATTTGCCTCTGATCTTGGATGATTATAATTAGTAATATATGTTAAGTACCTAGCACTGTGCTGGGGGACTAAGAACAGAACGTCATGAATGGTAGATCTTTTATTTTCTTCCTCATGATCAAGGTAACCACTTAAATAGCTCTTGCTAGATGCCAAGCACTTTACATCTGCTCCTTATTAAATCTTCACAACAACCTGATGAGATAGGTTCCCATTAATACTCCAATTTTCTGAATGGGAAATTTGCCCGAGGAAACACAGTCAGTCAGCAGAGGAGCCAGGATGGAAACCCACACAATGTAGCCCACCGCTGTGCTTTCTAGGTACAGTGCGGAAAGTGTCTCCCATCTTCTCATTTTTCTTTTTGTTTTTTTAGAGACAGGGTCTCGCTCTGTGGCCCAGGCTGGAGTGCAGTAGTATAATCAGAGCTCTCTGAAGCCTGGAATCGCTCGAGCGATCTTCCTGCCTCAGCTGCCAAAGTTGTTAGGACTATACTACAGGCACACAGCACCATGCTTAGCTAATTTTTTAACTTTTTGTAGAAAGGAGGTTTCACTATGTTGCCCAGGCTGGTCTCAAGCTGTTGGCCTCAAGCAATCCCTCCGTCTCAGCTTTCCAAAGTGTTAAGATTACAGGCATGAGCCACTGCGCCTAGCCCTATCTTTTAATTTTGACTATCCCATACCTGCATAGCATGTAGCACAATTAAAGCCACCAGCTCCATTTCTGGCAAACTCCAACCATTGCTAATTTTGGTGTTTAGGTGTAGAGGTAAGGCCTGAACGCTGTTGGGATACTGGCTAGGTGGTATGGTATAATGTGAAATATGAAACTGACATGCTAGCCACTGCACTAAGACGGCGATTAATATGATATACATTTGGTCTTTGCCCCAGTTCTTGTCACAGAGCTTCTAAAGTCCTTAGAATTTTCTGAGTGATAGGAGTGTCTTCTGTTATTTATAAAGAGCCCCCTTTATTTATTTTATTTTATTTTATTTTATTTTATTTTATTTTATTTATTTTATTTTTTTGAGATGGAGTCTTACTCTGTCACCCAGGCTAGAGTGCAATGGCATGATCTCGGCTCACTGCAACCTCCACCTCCCAGGGTTCAAGCAATTCTCCTGCCTCAGCCTCCTGAGTAGCTGGGATTACAGGCATGCACCACCATGCCCAGCTAATTTTTGTATTTTTAGTAGAGATGGGGTTTTGCCATGTTGGCCAGGCTGGTCTTGAACTCCTGACCTCACGTTATCCACCCACTTCAGCCTCCCAAAGTGCTGTGATTACAGGCGTGAGCCACTAGAGCCCCCTTTGTAACACCTAAGTTTATGCTCATGAAGGACTTAGACTGGGCACCCCAGCTAGACTCAGATGGAGCTGGTGACCAGAAAGACCAAGCAGTTATAGGATTTCAGGGTTGGGATTTTCAGCCCCGCCTACCAACCTCCAGGAGATGCAGGGTCAGGGCTGGAGATCAAGCTCTATACAAAGTCTTAGACAAGGAGATGTGCTTTTCAGTTGCTGAACAGGAGGAGGAGGTGTGTTTGCTAAGCTTCCAGATTGCTGAAAACATGGAAGTGCTGGGAGGATGGCATGCCACCCCCTCCCCGGTACCATGTCCTATGCCCTACACATCCCTTCACCTGGCACATCATCCATATCCTTTGTAGTATTCTTCATTATGCCAAACCAGTCAATTTAAGTCTTTCCCTGAGTTCTGTGAGCCAGCCCAGCAAATTAATGGAACCTAAGAATGGGGTCATGGAGTGCAATTTACAGTGGGTGGGTCAGAAGTGTATGTGACAATCTACTTCTGAAAGTTGGCATCAGAAGTAGAGTGCAGTCTTGTGGGACTGAGCCCCACCTGAGCACTCTGACTCTACCTCAGGTAGATAGTGTCAGAATTGAATTGAAGTATGGCATAGCCTGCTGGTGGCCCCCGGAGGATTGCTTGGTGTGTGTGGAAAGACCCCCACACATCTGGCCACACGTGGGTTCTGCACTGAGTGTGGCAGTAGAGAGAGAAAAAAATTGTTTTTTCTTTTAGAGATGGTATAAGAAGTGGCTCACTTTTCTCCAATCACACAAAAACAATTTGATTTGCTGAACACTAAATAGAACATTGTTCCTGAAAACTTTTTCAAGATTGTGTCTGCAATGTGCTGCTTTTTAAAAGCGAACTCTAACAACAATTAATTGCACTGTGTATATTATCAGTTATCATTATTTGTTAAGTTTCTTGCATGGTTAGAGTCAAGAAGTCCAAGCTGCAAAGTGTAACTTCTGTCTTTAAGAATAGAAAAGAGAATAGAAATAGAAAAGTTACTGCTTATGAGTGGAAAAAAACAAAAAATAAAGTGAAGATAATGGAAGGAAACCTATCCATCCCATCACAGACATTTCAATCTAGACCCAGAAGAATAAGCCTTTCTTAGTTAATTCTCAACATTTTTTAGGCAAAGACAAGTAAACATTCAGAGGCGTTCAGTACCAAGAAATGGCTCTAAACTGGACTGTATTCTTCTTAATATCTGCTTACGGAGAGAGGAAATGGAGGCCATCTTTGGCCCTCACTGAGAATCTTCCTCAATGGAAATTTCTGGTGATATTTAGAGGCAAGTTACCTCTGCTTACCTTTGCCTGCTTACTTTGTGCCAGATCCCCTACTTAGTCCTAGGGTTCAAGTACAAAGAAACCTGGCCCCCATACTCCAGCAACTGAGAGTCTAGTTGTGGGCAAAACTGTGTAAAAGATGATTACGGGCCATATGATGAATGCTTTCATGGGGCATGTACAGAATACACTGGAAACCCTCAGAAAGGAGTGAACCAGTTTCCCTGAGAACGGAGTCAAACTGGAATGAGCTGTTTTTAAAGCTCAGGGGCTAGATAATTTGCTTGGTGGGCAAATTGCCCCGGACCAGGCGATGTCTTCACGATAGTGGTCCGGAGAAACACGGGCCGTGCAGCTACTCAAGTTCTGGTCTCTTTTGTGGGGGGTATTTATTGTTTCGATTGCCACATTTATATGATACATTTTATGACTTCTTTAAATGCCTCTTATTTTTCCTACAATGAAATAATAGACTTTAAATCATGTTTGAAGTCTCTAGCCTGCTTTGCTTTAATCATAACAACAAAAATTAAATTTTACACAAAAATACAAATCATAATTTTATAAAATGAAACATGAAGATAAAGTTGAACATCCGGGGTAGTGTTTGTAAACAAAGTGTGAAGAATTTTATTTATTGTGCTTTCTGGACATTTTGAGGATCAAATATAAATCTCAGGAAAGTAATATAAGAATAAAAGTAATTGGTAATTTTAGCCTACTCTTAACCCCAGATTCTTTTCACCAGTCCAGCACATTTTAAGAAATGAGAGACGAAACAGCATTCGGCAGTAAGGAACTGGTTACCATCAGAGCTATGTTGAATGTGAACGTGATTTTACTAATTAAGTCCTAAACAACTGATGCAGGTAACTGTGGTCCCTGCACTGGAGACCCTTATTATATCTCATATAAAATAGTTAATTGCTTCCAAATGAAGCTCAAATCAGACAGAGAAATGTCTACTTTGACTAGTACCAAAACATAAGTAGGCAACGGACACTGTGTTGTTTTTGCCTGACTCTGTGGATTCTCAAGAATATTCATTTATTTAATAGGCAAAATTAAGGCATGTGTCCTCCAGGGACAGCCACTCTTAGGACATGTGAACAGAAATGCAATTTTCTCTCTAATTTCTTTGATGGATTCAGTAGATTCCTATTAGTCTACATGATAAGTGTTTCTGAGTTTCCGACTGCATTTTGGCTTACCTATAATAAACCCATTCAAATAGTATCAAGTCTTCCTTTCAAAATAATCCAAATCCATTGACATTATATTAAATGATATTGTTGTAAGTGAAGTCACAATGTAACAATACAGCGTGATTTTTCTCTTAAAATTGTTAAGCTCAGGAGAATATCCTTAAGATTAACTTTCTTAGAAGAAAAATATCTCGACTGCTTGTAAATAGGAAAACATAAACATTCTTGTGTATTTTGAAGCTTTTATTTTGGCTCAAAAATGGAAGTTAAATTTTCATGAAAGTCATAGAATGTTATAAGGAAATTCTCTGAACAAATTCACAATTTACTGTTAAGCTCTTCATCATGAATTACGCTTAACTCAAAAGCAATATACCGGAAAAGAAGATAAAAACGTAAATAAGTCTACATTGTGGTATTAAACTAGGTCCTGTCAACATAGATTGATAGGGAAAAAAATACGTATTTTTTAGTATACAATTACGTTTGAAAATTTAATTGCTAATGGATTTCTGTATTCATATCAAGGTCAGATGGGCAATTATTTATGAGTAATCTGAAATCTCAAATAGCCTCTTCCAACAGGTTTTGTAACATCTATTTATTTTAGACATTTTGCCATTTCTAATGTTTCTCCCTCACAGTTTTTTTCCACAGCAGCAATGCAATACATTTTGTCAAATTTGCACTTGTTTTCAAAACCCTCCTTTATTTTACTGGAGAGCTTGCAATTAACCCACTTCTCCCTATTGAGCAGCATCTCTGTAATAACAGCTTTCCTGGCTGAGCTTTTGTTAGGGAGATTTTCAAATCAAGAGCCCATAAAGGTTGGAAAAAATCCAGTCATATTAAAGTTCAGCAAATCTCTTTCAAGGTCATAGCCCTTGAAGTTATAGACGGTTTTTTTTTTCCTGGAAAAGACTGCCAAGTCATTTTCCACATTAAAAAAATAAATTAAGACAAACACTGTTACCTGTTTTACCAAATGTTGAGAGAGACGCTAAGATTTTACTTCTTCCAATGAATTGACAAGGAAGAGATGTTCTGCTCTCCTTGCCCCTTTGAAGCTTGGTAGCAGGAAGGGTGAGACTTCTGTAAACTGCGCTAGACTCATTCATGCATCCAGGGCTGGCCGGCGATCCAGCTGCATGAAAGAGCTTAATAGTCAAAGGCCATGGTAATTCCCTCCATCTGCCTTTTCTTTCTTCTAAGGCAAAATCTTCACCTGGTGTTTTTGATTCATGTGTTCTAATTATGATGGCTGCCATCAGCAGCCCTGTGGGTGACACCACAAACTCGCTGAGCCCACAGAGCATGCTGAGGCTTGTTAAGCGACCATGTCAGCCTGATTTTAGGGCCCATTTTGCAGCTCTCCACAGGCCTATCTAAAAGCATCAGGAGTCTCAGTCTCGCAGGACAAGTGCATTGTCTTTCTAAATGTCTCTTCCTGATAAGCAAATCCAAATATGGTTCATTCACTGTGGCTTTGAAGGCACAGTAGGGAACTTGGCTTGCATGGTGGATACAACAAAATGCTTAATATTATCACTTGGTATAGAGCTAAAGAACTCAATTTCCAATTCCAAGATGAAAACCTTTGCTCCCCAGCTATGATCAAGAGTTTGAAATTTAAATCAGGAGTCTTGAAAGCTATTCTAACTCTCAAAAGGGCTGGCTTTCCCATACATACAAAGAAGAAAATGCTGTGCTTGCATGAGTGTCTGAATCAAGAAAAGCTCACATCGTTTTAGCAAATGTAATACTTGCCTCTTTCAATTGGAATGCTGTTGAGTATTTTTCAGTGTTTTCAGTTCATTTGTTTTATTGTATTTCCCATTATTTAGATTATGATTAGGGCTGGTCCTATAGTCCTTTTTTATTACTTTATATACCTCCTGTTGTTTTAGTGTTTCCACATTAATAACACCTGGCAACATCCAAAAACATTTTGATTTAAGATAAGTACAAAACAAGCATCAAAAACAAGCTTCGCAACATCTTTATCACTCCACTCCCTTTCTCTGTTATTATAGTTTACATATCTTAAGTCACTGTTTTTATTTTTCCCCCAGCTTTACTGAAGTATATTTGACAGATAAAAATTACATATTTTTATGGTGTACAATATATATATATACACACTGCAAAGTCACTACCACAGTAAAACTAATTAACATCTCCATCACGTCACATAGTTATCCTTGTGATTGTGTGTGTGTGTATGTGTGTGGTGAGAACAGTTAAGATCTGCTCTCTTGGCAAATTTCAAGTGTGCAATAGACTATTATTAACTGTAGTCACCACGCTGTGCATTAGATCTCCAGAAATTTATTCATTCTGTGCAACTGAAACTTTGCACAATTTGACCAACATCTTCCTACATGTCCCACATCCCAGCCCCTGGCAACCGCCCTTCTACTCTCTATTCTATGAATTTGACTTTTTTAGATTCCACATACAAGTGAGATCCTGCAGTATTTGTTTTTCTTTGCCTGGCTTATTTCACTTAACATACTGTCCTCCAGGTTCATTCATGTCTCAAATAATGGCATTTCCTTCTTTTTTAAGGCATTTCCTTCTTTTTTAAGGCTGAATAATATCCCTGTGTGTGTGTGTGTGTGTGTGTGTGTGTGTGTACAGCACTTTTTATTACTTTTATTATGTAGTATTTTGAAGAACATTTTAGTTCTGTCTAGGTCGGGTTGGATCCAAGAAATTTAGTGGATGTAAGAAAATCACACTTAGGATTCATTTCAGGAACTAAAACCTTAAATAATCTCCAGTAATTTGCAAGTGGTCTCAGGTTACTTCAGAGCACCTTTTTCACAGGCTGTGCTTCTCCACTCCACTCCAAATCCCAGCTGCATCAGTCCAGAAATTCACAGAAGAAATTCACCTACCAGTTTGCAAGGTAATTCGGATTGGGAAACTGTTCTATAGTTAACACCTACACTAACAATAGCCTACAATCCCTTGTATAGTTGGCTGTTCTGATAGTTTATTTAGGCAGAGTCATTTCTACTCTTGCATGCTTGCTGTAGGTTATTTCTATGTCTCTGAATATTCAGATTTGTGTTTTCGATGGATGTCTTTTGTCTTGGTCAGTTCAGGCTGCTATCACAAAAGTTGCCTACACTGAGTGGTTTAAATAACAGAAATTTATGTCTCACAGTTCTCCAGGCTGGGAAGCCCAGCATCAAGGTGCTGGCTGACATGGTTCTCTGTGAGGATCCCTTTCCTGGTGTACAGACAGACACCTTATTGGTGTATACTAACATGACAGAGACAGAGATCATCTCCCCTGTGTCTCTTCTTATAAAGGCACTAATCCTGTTCACAAGGGCCCCACCCTTATGACCTAATTACTCCCCAAAGGCCCCACCTCCTAATACAATCTTATTGGTTATTTGGGCTTCAATATATGAATTTCAGGGGATGTAAACATGCAGTCCATAGCAACTTTGGCCTAAATGAAGACTGATGTGATATGTTGCATTCAGTCAACTCTTTCAAGGTATGATCAATACCAGTTGCTGAACTACTGAGCTATCACCAAGTGGCTGATGTAATTTGGTTGTGCCAATGGTAAAAACAAATATTTTCCCAACTGATAACTCAAAAGACAATAATTGAGAAAAATATCAAGGTAATAAATAGCATGGCACATGGGAAAGGAAGAGAAGTTGGAGCTAAACCTGGAGAGGTAGCCAAGGTGCCAAAGAGGATATTATATGCCATGTAAAAATACCTTTACATGATGGGAATCCATGGGGAAGTATAACCTGGATATGACCTGGGTTAGATTTGTGTTTTAGATAGATGTCTCTGGTACCTAGGCAGAAAATGACTCCAATGGGCAAAGCACAGAAGCAGAGAGACTCAGTAGGGAGTCACTGTAGTATCCAGACAAGAAAGGCTAGAGGCCTGAGTATGGGAAGGAAAGGGGATGGAATATATCTGAGTATTTGGCAATTGATTGGATATGGGCTACAGAATAAACAGTGGCATCAGAAATGTCACAAATGTTTTATGGTTGTTGTAATGGGCTGCAGCTGCCAGCAACCAAGGTACAGAATCAAGGAGGAGGAGCGTAATAGTATTAAATATAACAGTTCAAACTTCTTATTGTCACCTATGTTCCTTATAGTCATCGATTCCTTCATTCATTCATCAAAAGTGTATTAGACAGCCACTAGGTCTCGGACCCAATCACAGCAAATCCGACAAGTGCCCTGTCCTCACTAGAGGGCACATTCATGAATTATACAAGAAGAAAGGGACACATACTGCTGGAAAAGCTCAAAGAAAAGTTTGTGATGTTCAGTGGGGGAATGGTTACTTTCAGCTGGGAGTTCAGCAGGAATAACCAATGAGATGGTCTTTGAGGATTCTGCCCTTGAAAGTGGGATAGCATTTAGGCATGTGGAGAGTGGCCTGAAGATCTTCAAGGCAGAGGGCGCAGCACAGATGGCCAGGGTTATGCCAGAGGCAGGGACATGAGCATGTGCACTAGAGGATGAGCCCCAGGAAGGGGAGGGGTGGGGCCCACACATGAGAGGCGAAGTAGAATTAATCAGCAGGATGACATCATTACCTGACCATGGGGGTGAGAGAGATGATCACCTCTGACACAGCCTAGACACTCAGCAGGAGCGAGTTCATGAAACAAGACTATGAGCAGTTTGGAACCCGTCCAGAACACTGACGTTGCATAAGGCGGACAACCTCAACTAAGAAATGTATCCTTCCTTCCAAAGGGTGGTGTTGCATCACCACGTTCATTTCATCCTACCCAGATATATGCATCCACTTTTACATCTCAGAAAATTCTTACGTCATGTCAGAGCAAGTCTAGAAACTGCCTTTTGTATTCTCGGGGAATGATTTTTGGACGTTGTGCTGTTTCCATGTTGTGGGTGAGTTTATTTCAGACGGCAAAGAGGGAGGCCCACAGGCCAGAGTGTGAGCCCCTCCCCAGTCCAGGGCCCATGTGGTGCCCAGTCCACAACGTTTTACTATCTCAAAATATGCTCCCTCCCCTTTTCTTTGTACATGGGGATTTTTCTTTGTAAAAGGGAGGGTTTTTTTTTTAATCTTTTTTCCTTTTTTTTTTAACTGTTCCCTTCCTCTCAATCCTAAAAGAAGTCTATGAAGCTTACCTTGCTACTGATAACGTGACCTCTTACTGCTCACCATGATCAACATGGCTTTCGGTATTGAACTGCAGGCAACAAAAAAGGGCCAATACATAATGGTGAAAGGGACACCTCAGGAGAACAGAGAAGGGGCCTTGGACTCCAGGTAGGGCTCCCGAGACCATTGTCTCCTTGCTCTCTGATCCAAGCTGACACACCTTCTCCTTCCTCTCCTTTTTCCTCTGGTTGTTTTTGATTTAGTATGGTAGGCTCTATCGGTATAACGAATTCAGTCCTTCAGCAAAACATATACATGAATGTGTATATATTTAACTCTAACGCTGCCCCATCTTTCCTCACTATGTTGTCTATAAGCCGTGACTTTGTATTTGATTCATAGGCATTAACAAGTAAAACTGGCAGAAGGACTTGAGCCCAAGAAAGAGGACACTTCATAGCTGAAGTGTCTGAATATGTGTTTCGACTCATCCCCATAGGCTTCGCAGTGATTATTTATTTTCAGTGAATGAGACTACTAAAAACTGGATGAAAATACGTTCTGTTATTGCCATGCATGGCTTTCTAATGTGGGGGCTTCTGCCTGGCACAACCTTAACGTCGCCTTGACAATAATGTGACAGGAAAAGAGGAAGGAACCTATGAGGCGATAACCCTACCTGTGTTTTCTGACTATGATAATAAATTTGGAACCAGCTGTCTCTATTTTCTCTGGTGACATTTATGGTTCAGGAATGAAGTGGGGGGAATGGATGATAGAATCTGCATTTTTCAGCAGTTCTCACTGTTCTATCTTTTATCATTATTTATTCTCTTTCTTGCCTATTTTTCTTCTTCTCTTGAAAAGGACATGTTAACGCATATTTCAAAATAAGTGTGTGTGTGTGTGTGTGTGTGTGTATAGTTTTGTCTTTTTTACTCTTAAGAATCAAACTCATAGAATTTACACACTGATAAGTACAAGAACTGAGTCTCAACCAACCTCTTATTTTACAAACGAGGGAACTGAGGCATAGCTAAGAGACGCATCTTGGGTCATACAAGTTGGAACCCAGCTTTCTTGCTTTCTTCCTTTTCTTTATTTTTTATTTATTTATTTATTTATTTTTTGAGATGGAGTCTTGCTCTGTCACCCAGGCTGAACTGCGGTGCTACAATCTCAGCTCACTGCAACCTCTGCCTGCTGTGTTCAAGTGATTATCCACCCTCAGACTCCCTAGTGGCTGGGAGCCCAGCTTTCTTGACTTTATATTGGGCTTCCGCTAGTACATCTGGGATAGCATCATGGTGCTTAGGAAAAGGCCCCTGTGAGTTCCACAGGAAAAGAAGACTCAATACCTTCTCTTCTAAAATTCTAAATGTCTTAAGGTAGATTCCTTTTCAACAGTCAAAAACCAATGCAGGCTGGTGTAACTGTTGTTTCAGATTGCTTCACGTATCTCTGGTTCCCAAGTAATGTTTTTTTATTACTTTGACTTTCATTTCCCTTCTTTATAGATTTGGGTTAGTATATATTATGTTGCCTTGTTGGGCTGTTATTATACATCAAAACTGGCATAAATCCAGAGGCAACAAATTAGAAATATTGACTTTTCTGCTGGGCTAATAAAAACGATGGTATGTGAGTTAACAAATGTAGTTTTAATTTTATAACAAATGTAACAGTGTGAGCCAGGGAGATGGCTGAAAATACCAGAAAAGGAAACCTTTCTAAATTGTAAGAACCAGAAAAAGAAGTGATGCATAAAGAAATGTCAGCCTGACTTTTAACAAGGGTAACCTCCTTAAAGCAAAATGTAGACGGCCGCTTATGCACTGTTCTCTATGGAAAAATAATGTATACATTGGAAGGCTCCCTTTTCCCACTAACAAATGTAATATCCTTAGAAACAATAATTCCTCAAGGGAGATGACATAACTGCATTACTGATTTCTCAGTTTTTGAGCAGCAGCAATTAGATAAACCTGAAACGAGTGGCTGTAATCCTCAAGGTTGGATCTGATTAATAAAGCGAGTGATAGCCTGCTGATTCTAAAATAAAAAGCTAAATAAATACATGTTGCCATTTTCAGCAATGAAGTAATAAGCAGTTTGCAGTAAATGTGATTGGCATAAAACAATGTAGAATATAATGTCAAATGCATTCAGGAAACAGCTATTGCTGTCAAATTTGCAAAATAGGATGGTGCTTCCACAAACGTATCTATAATTTAAAGCTACTGAAATAAGTTGGCGGATATGCCAACAAATTATTCAAGCCACATTTAAATTGTGTACCTAACTCCTCAATAGCATATTTATTTAATCAAAGCATGATCATTTCTTACAATTACTGTTATAAACTTTTATAAAATATACCAGAAAATAGCAGCAGACATGTATTACCTAAGTCATATAAGCACTGAGAACGCTGACACAGCTATTCAAAACTGCAAAGGAACAGAAAGAGGCTAGCGCATTAAGACACCGCCAAACACTTTCTTAGCAGGTAAATGCCTGGGATAATAATAGATGAGTACAAAGGAAAGTATGGGGAGGTTATTAAATTATACTGTAAGGATCTAAAGCTCTAGTGCGGCATCTTTGACTAGGTCTATACATTTTCCAGAAGAATCACAATACAATGTGCTCTGTTTGGGTGAACAAGTCGGAAGCAGCCTGTCTATTAGGAAGTGGGAATTCAAAAGCCCTCGGGAGCTAGGCAGATAATGCGGATGAGTAGAGTGGTCTGTGGAGACAGGCGAACTGGAAAGCGGTTGCCCAGAATAAGGTGGCTGATGGAGCCAATTATCGCTGTGCCAGAATGCAGACCCAGGATTGCCAGAGCTTCTGGTTCTTCAAAAAAGAGCCAGAAATTAAGATTTTCCTGTGAAGTACACATAACTGTCAGTGTTGCAACTGTTATTAAAAACAATAATGGTAATGAGGACTAGATTCAAGATGGGAGCCACGTGTTTGCAAACTCCTAACCGTGTAATGACCTAACCAGGATATCTGTGTATTCTACGTAGACTGAACCATGGTCACCAGATGAACAAATGGCCAAAACTATTCCGAAAACAATTATACTAAGAACAGCCACCCAACCAGAGTACACACTGGACATATGGGAATAAGAAATAAGAATTCCTAGGCCGGGAAAGGTGGCTCACACCTGTAATCCCAGCACTTTGGGAGGCCGAGGCAGGCGGATCACCTGAGGCCAGGAGTTCAAGACCAGCCTGACCAATATGGTGAAACCCTGTCTCTACTTAAAGTGCAAAAAATTAGCTGGGCATGGTGGCAGACACGTGGAATCCCAGCTACTCAGGAGGCTGAGGTGGAAGAACTGCTTGAACCCGGGAGGTGGAGGTTGCAGTGAGCCGAGATTGCACCACTGCACTCCAGCCTGGGCAACAGAGCAAGACTCCATCTCAAAAAAAGAATTCCTTACCTATAGAGGGAACAGTTCAGGTGACTTGCTCCTGGTTGTTCAGGTGCTTGACTCTTGTCCCTCACTTCCTTTTTCTGTAAAATGGAAATAATGGTAGTACCCACCTCTTAGGGTCATTGTGAGGACTAAATGAGTTATTTATATTAAGCACTGAGAACAGTACCTAGGCTAGAACAGGTACTTACTAACTGTAACCTGTTATTACTCTTACTATGAATAAAATGCCGGTGTATTTCTTGAATGTCAAAGGCAAGATGGCATTTCCAGAACGGGGCAACTCAGTGGAACAACATGAAAAATACCTGTTGCAGTATAACTGCTGGCAAAGAAAAAATAACAGCAAGATAGCCAAGTAATTGTGTTATGGCGAGTTGGGAAGCACCTGAGAGGGTAGAAGGAATAGTTCAAAGTTACAGTGAAGCACAGCTTCAAACAGCCCTCCTTTGGACAAGGAAGCAATTATCATGGTAGACAGGCTGGCTTGGCAAGCAGGCATTAGGCACTATCTGGTCATGTGTATGTGTGTGTCTGGGACTGAGGATTCTTGGCTTTTTTTGTGGACTTTTGGGAAGCTCATTTTTTCTGTTTTTTGTTTGTTTGCTTGTTTTCTCTAAGACTCTTTACACGTCTGAGAGACGGAGATGAACAGTGACAGGTTCTGCAAAACCAAGGAAGTCTATAGATGTGTGCAATAGGAAAAGTACTATTGTATTGCCTGCATTTATTTTCCAGCCATACTTCACAGACATAGCCCTGGCTACTGTTTTCAAGCACCGGTCTAAAAACTAAGAATACTCTCCAGCTCATTTCTCCAGGTGGTGAACCCGAGGAGGGTGGAGGGGGCCATGTAGAGGAGATCAAAAGAGATGTGTGTTATACTTTTATTAAAATTCATATCTATAAGCATTCGTATAAATCTGGGGTCTGCAAACTGCAGCCCTAAGGCTGGCTCATGGCTTGCTTTTGTAAGCCTGGTTTTTACATTTTTAAAGAATTGTAAAATATATATATATATATATATATATATATATATATATATATATATATGCAACAATGACCATATATGGCTCACAAAGCCTAAAATACTTACTACCTGGCCCTTTAGAGGAAAAGTTTGCTGACCCTTGAGAATGGTTTCTGCAGGTTTGTCATTTTCACTTCCTATTAGATTAAAAGGAGCATTGGTTTTCCCTTATAACTTGATGCAACTAAGCTATAATTTAGAGGCAAGTCACCATTCTTTTTTGAACTTTGTCCTTGTTCATATGTTATTTCTTTTTAACCAGGTGACAGAAAAATGCCCAAGCAGATTTTTTTTAAAATGTACCTTCTATTGTACCCTGTTGTCTTAAAGAAGATTCAGTTCAGTTATCCAAGTGAGACACTTTAGTTTTGATGGTATGTACATGCTGATTTACCACCAGGATGGCCGGTTCTTGCTTGGTTGTAAAATTATGGCACAAATACTTTTCATTGATCGCAGTTTAACAGCCAATCAAGGCACAGCTTCATCCCACGATTTCACTGTGCCTTTACAATTGAGAAGAATAGCAGCTATAATGGGTACTATTATGGCTATTGTGTTCCTGGGAGATGAACTCAGAGATGGTGCTGGAGCAGGACAAGTTATATAAATGTCTTCAGCCAAGGACATTACAGAAAGAATTATGTAACCTCACAGGATATAAAGATTTTGCCATAACTTTTCACTCAATGGAATCCGCTGTAGCCCATAAAACGTGTTGTGTTCATAGAAGACTTTGTAACAGAATACTTCTTATCATGATCATTGTTTTCAGAGCCAAGAAATGGATTCTGAGAAGAGAAAAAAATAGGTCTTTTAGATCAGAAATCAGAATGATTTATTTTTAAATAACTAGTTTGTAGTTTGAAAGCAAATTTCAAATTTTCTGTGATCAAAAACTCAAAAATATATTAACCTTTGATATAGTTTTGAGACTATCTTGATGCACTTTTCCTCTGGTCTCTGTATTGTCAGTGAGGCACTCACATTTTGTTGATTTTTTTCGTCTTTCAAATTTAATTATCTGTTTATACCTTTGTGAGCAGTCAAGTGCTTTAGCTCTCTATTTTTATCATTTCAACTCTTTATAGTTCCATTTTCAGAAAACATCAAGATTCCCAATGATTCAAAAAGTGATTTATAAACCTTAAATTCCGTTTTATGCAGGGAGGAAAAAGTGCTTAATACACACTAATATCAAATAAATTACTTTGATTACTCCTGATATTTTACTCCATTTGGGGGGTTTTATTTTTACTTTTCTCATCTACCAACAAACGATGCTACATTTCAGTCATCTGGATGAGCATATCATTAGAATAGAGGCTATTTTATAACATTAGAGCACAAGGGATTAAGAATGGTATATCCTTTTTTCATCATTACATGTATGTGTTAGAATTTCTAACCATCACATTTCTATTACTAAAATTGATTATTTATGCACTTGCACCAGATTCCAACCAGGAAGCAATATCCACTGTGTAAGCCACACTAACTCAATTAGACCCAATTGTCTACAGCCACAATCTCCATCAGTGACAACCCAACTCCCCCTCCCATGCTTGCTAAATATCCAAACAATTACAAACAAAGCAAGCAATGCTAATTCAATCAAGAATGTATCCAGCTTTCTGTTCCTTCCTCACATACATTTATATGTCTTTATACTGGAAATTGAAGTTTAGACTAAGGACAGAGCTGTTGTATTAGATGCATATCTACCCACCTCCCTCATTCTAGTTAAAGGCATCACAAATAATCTGAAATGGCCTTGAAATGATATTGAACGCATTTTACCTGAGGTGACCTCACCAATCAGTCCTGAATTAAGGAGCTCAACATACTATTGTTGATGAGATTTTGTTAAACTCAATAAGACTTTCTAGACCAGTGCCTTAAACTCAGATGCCTCCATGGTCCAGGCCAGTAAGGGGAATTAATAGACAATAAGGAGTAGTGAGCATGGAGGTCAGAGGGCAGGCACCTACTCCAGAAGATGGCTTGAGTCTAGGTACCATGGCTCATGCCTTTAATCATGAGGCCAGGAGTTTGAGACCAGCCTGGGCAACATAGTGAGATCCTTGTCCCTTAAATTAAAAATGAAAAAAATTAGCCAGGTGTGGTGGCATGAGCCTGTGGTCCCAGCTACTTGGGAGGCTGAGATGGGAGGATTGCTTGAGCCAGGAGGTCAGCGCTGCAGTGAGCTATTATTGTGCCACCGCATTCTAGCCTGCACAACTGACTGAGACTTATTATCTCAACAAAAAAAAAAAAAAGAAAGAAAGAAAGAAAAAGAAAGGAAAGAAAGAAAGAAAGAGAAAGATAAGGAAGGAAGGAGAAATAGGGAGGGAGGGTAAGGGAAGGAGGAAGGGAGGAAGGAGAGAAAGAGAAAGGAAAGAAAGAAAGAAAGGAAGGGAGGGAGGAAGGAAGGAGAAGGAGGGAGGGAAAGGGAGGGAGGGAGGGAGGGAGGAACCAAGGAAGGAAGGAAAGAAGGAAGGAAAGAAGGGAGGGAGGGAAATAAAAGATGGCCAAGCCTTTGTTTCCCCAGAGAAACTAGAAATCTGGATTTTATGTGGAATTAATTGACAAATAATACAAAATTTGTATTGTAAAAATAAAATACTGTCAGTCCAATTCTAACTGGTTTGCAAACTTTGGTAGATTTTTGCAAATAACTTTAGTGGATGTTTGCAGATAAAATATAAAATCTGCTCTATCCAGCCCTAAAGGGGAAGCAGACAGACACACAAATAATAAACACAAGAAAAAATGTGATAAATATATGTGTCGAGATACACAGATCATTAAAGTTAAGGTATACACAGAAGGAGAAATTACTTCAAATTAGGAATGATCTCATGAAAAGCAGGGTATTTGATCTGAGACTTTAAGAATAAACAAGATGTTGAAATGCAGATACAGAGGGAAAGGCAATTCCAGGTGGTTGAAGTAAATTTAGGATAGAGATGTGGAGAGTGTTGGGTGTAGTCACAATGAATTAAAAAGACCACTTTAACTAAAACTTTGGGGCAAAAGAAGTCAGAAGTGGATGCCTGGTGTGGTGGCAGGCACCTGTAGTCCCAGCTACTCAGGAGCCTGAGGCAGGAGCATCTCTTGAGCCCAGGAGTTTGATTCCATCCTGGACAACATTGCCAGAAACCTGTCTTTCTGGAGGAAAAAAAGGAGGTCAGACCATATGCCTATATCCGGGGCAGCCTGTGAGAAAACTCCCGGTGCCTTTTCTCACCCCTCCCCAATTCCCTGCCTCACTCTGCTGGATTTTTGTCTCTCACCCGTCCCCTGATTCTCCTCCATCCAGCCTCCTATGGGTCTTCATAAGCATCTGCTTCTCTCTGCCCCTGCTGCCGTCATACAGCCTAAAGCTGCACCTGCAGCAGCCTCCTAAGAGTTCTGCTGTGCTCACACTTGCTCCACAGAGTTATTTGCAAATGAAAACCTGATCATATGAACATCCTTCCCCAAGAAAAAGCTTCAACAACCTACCTACCTTCATTGACTCAACGACTTTCCATTCCTATTAGGATGAAAACCCAAATCCTTTAACCTTCACGCAAAACCGTTACCACCACTCCACCCGCTCCAGTCTCCCCTGTGACCCGTCCACGTGCTGCTTGGGACTCTCCTCTTAAAGTGCAGACCACATTGGCCACCTCTACCTCCCTGCGGTGGAAGCCCCTTGCCTCAGGCTTCACTCTACTTGTAGTTCCCAGTCTCTCTAGCCTTCTCGCAGAGCCCCCATTCTTTTGCCTTCATTCAAGTGCCCACGGAAAGGTCATGTCCTCAGGGAAGAATTTCCTTGCAGAATCCGCAGACTAGCTCCTGTTCTGAGGTTCTGTTCAGAGTTTCTATGTTCTCAACGTTCAACTGATCCTTAAAAACAAACGCCGTGTGTGCACTTTTGTGTGTGTGTGTGTGGTGTGTGTGTGTATCTCCCAACAAATCTGTTCCCTCCACCATGAGGGCTGAGAGGATAAATACCTCAGTGCACGTGTCACCCATTTGCAGCGGAACCTTAGCAAAGCTCTGCTATGGAATTTGATGGAATATGGGGGCTTAATTCTGAAGCAATAAAGAGTTAGAAATTTCCATATTTAAACTTTTTCTCACCTTATTTCCTTTCTCTAATTTGTATTGATGACACGTATATTGACATAAACTTTCTAATCCTGACTCTCTGCCTGTCCAGCTCTCCATCTGTGGAAGAATAGCCTAGTATCTTCTCATCTCTTTCCCCGTAAAATAAGGGTATTCCACCCGGATTCAGAGTCCCTCCCCTAAGCCATCCTCCGATATTTTCAGGTAACAGTGAACATTACAAACCTGCAGTATCATTTTAGGGAAATCATTCAGCCTTTTAAATCTTTATTTCCCTCATCCATAAAATAAGAACATTATAAATTAAATGTAATATGTATGTATAAAGAACTTGATAAAATACGTGGTCCGTAGTACTTAATCAATAATTCGCAGTTTGCTTTTTCCCTTTTCAGTTCAGCTTTCTGAGCCCAGAAATTCCTATACCTGCTCATGAATCCCATATGTCATTGAAGCCCCAAGGAGCTGCGTTTACTGTAGTTACATCTGTCATCCCCACGCCTGTGTCTTGAGACAGACTGGATCTTAATTCTGCCCTTTATTTCCTCCTCGACTGTGCTACCTGTCTCTTGTACTTCTGGCTGTCCCCACCCCCGGCCTAAATACTACCTGCTGTGGTTGAACATTCAAATGTTTGTTCCCTTCAAATCTCATGTTGAAATTTAATTGCCGTTGTGACAGTATTAAGATGTGAGAGCTTTAAGAGGTGATTGGGCCATGAATGCGCCACCTTCCTGGGTGGTTTCATGCCTTTTAAAAAGGGCTTCTTGGCTCTTCCACCCTCCTGCCCTGTGAGGAACAGCATTCCTCCCCTTCGGGGCACACAGCCTTCAAGATGGCATCTCGGAAGAGGAGACTAGGCCCTCACCAGGCATCAGACCTGCCCGTGCCTTGATCTTGGAGTCCCTGGCCTCTAGAACTGTAAGAAATAAATGTCTGTCCTTAACAAATTACCCAGTTTCACGTGTTCTGTTATAGCAGCACAAAACAGACTAAGATACCACGTAATAGGAGAATCCTTCAACTAGGGCCTTTGCTTCCATGGGCTCCTCAAACCCTATCCTTCCTCAGGGATGGATCATATTTGTAACTGATTCATTTTTGTGTAAAGTCTTATTTCAGGTCTTTCTCCATGGTTGAACTGTATCTGTCTCGCCCATCACTGTCAGGCACACAGTGTAGATACTCCATCAATTAGTCACTCTTAACTTTCATTCACCACAAATGCTCCTCCTTCACCAGGCCTTCTCCTGTTGCTGTTCTTTCTAGGAAGTTTCCCGTCTCAGATACCTGATATTTTTTCATTTATAATTCTACCATGGCATCTGTTCTTTTCTACCCTGCGTTGTAGTTATTTGAAAGCATGTATCTTTCCTCTTACTAGACAAATCGCAAATTCCTCAACAGGAGAGAGCACAACTTCTTCACCTTTCCATCACTTTGACTATGTTTGAACAATAGCGTATCTTCCATAAATATGGATAAGTAAACAAAAATTAAAAAGAAATAACGTATTAAATGTAACGATTACTTACCTAAGACATGTTACCAATCCTTCGAACACTTTTTTTCTTTTTGAGACAGAGTTTCACTCTTGTCGCCCAGGCTGGAGTGCAATGGCACAATCTCCGCTCACCGCAACCTCCGCCTCCCGGGTTCAAGTGATTCTCCTGCCTCAGCCTCCCGAGTAGCTGGGATTATAGGCATGCACCACCATGCCCAGATAATTTTGTATTTTTAGTAGAGACAGGGTTTCTGCATGTTGGTCAGTCTGGTCTTGAACTCCCGACCTCAGGTGATCCGCCTGCCTCGGCCTCCCAAAGTGCTGGAATTGCAGGTGTGAGCCACCGCACCTGGCCAATCCTAGGAACATTTCTATCATATCTTCCAGTATAGGATTATTTTTCTTTCATAATCATCAAAAGAACATTATTGGGAATACTTCTAGATGTCAAATTAGTATGTTCCCACCTAAATGGGAGTTAAAGTTACATGATGTGAAATTGTATGCTGAATTTAAATAATAATCAAGGTTGTAGTGAGTCCCTGTGGCTTCAGCCATTCAGTAGAAGGATATTCAGAAACTAGAGGAGAACTATATCCCATAATCCTCTAGGGGAAGTGACTCCATGAGACAAGGATGTATTTGTGGCTAACAAGATACAAAGGGCAGATTTTTCACTTCCTGATGTAAACAGTTTCAATCTAGGTGTAGCATTTCCCATGGGAGCTCCCTAAATATTTTAACAAAAGGATGAGAACACTGAGGATAGAAAATCCACCACTGCCTTCCAGTGCCTAACCACAGATAAAAAATTGATTACACTTCTGTTGGTTTGAGAGGTTTCCAGATAACCATTTTTTATTTCTAAACTGCGGCTGGTCATTGAAATTGTAAGCGGATGTCATGCCACCTACATTGCAGCGAGGTACCATAGCAAAATCAATATGCTATATCTCTTCATTCACAGATGTTCATGGATTGGAGCATATAGATAATGAAGTTTATTTATTCGAGTAGACACTGCTGTCACTAAATAATGGGTCTCAAATAGGTTTTTGCTGCCAAATAGTTTGATGACATATGGCATTTTCAGATAGGTCATTATATTACTGATTGAGGAGCAGAGCAATATTTAAATAGGAAAAAAATTCTAGTAGAAGCATTCAGGTTGGGCAGCCTGGAGAAGGATACTTTCTGTAATCTATCTTTAAAAATAAAACCTCACTGGCAATCCGAGATGTCTACCTATCTATTTTGTCTTGCATCTACAGCAAGGCACATGCTCGAAATACAGAAATTTATTTTCTTAAACAGCTAGATGCCTGCCTACATATTCCCTTCAATTCATAAAGAAATTGCATGTGAAAATGGGATACAAGCCAGCGAGCAAGTGAGCAGCTCGGAAGTTGAATGTATATTGGTATGAAATTTGAAAACACACGTGGGTTGGCTCTAAAACACTTTTTTTCCACAAACCACAAAATGGAATTCTATTACGATCACATACTGGGTACACACAAGGAGGTATACTTGCTTCTCAGGGCTAAAGGGCATTCAACAGCTACAGGACAATACGTCCCATCATCTTTTTCACTAACAGGTGAAGGGTATTCTAGATGAGATGTGTTAACAATTGGACAAGGAAGTTCCTATTAGCATGTAAGCAATTTCTGTTTTGCAAGCGGGGGTACAAAAGCCACGCCAAATATTTGACATACACCGGAGAGAAAAATACTCAATCTGGAAGTTACTGTTGATGTGGCTGATAAAAACATCTTGACATTTGAGTCTTTTAACTGCCAGTTGATCACAGGAGTGGCTTCAATGATTAGTTCACTTGAAGAAGCTCACAAAGAAAGAAGTTAAAGAGAGCCACTTCCCATTCAGATGGGCTGGAAACAAACATATACTTATAAGGAAAGTGAGCATTTCTGTGGGGAATTTTGACCACAGGGTATTTATTCAAATTCAAAAAGGACCACTGCACAGCAGAGTGGAGTGAAGAACATAAATTTCGTTTTTAAAATATAATGGCTCTGGGGCTTTTTGACCATAGGCCATGAGTAACGTCAAGTATATTTTGAATTTTTTAGAGCCAATAAGTGCTTACATATAATTATCACAATTATCCACGGTTCGGGTGTTTGTATAAACAGGTGTCTCTGTTTGTGGCTCGTTGGTTCGATCGTGTATTGCCCTGACCTACTTACGGAGTTGGACATCCCTGATTCAACTTCATTATCCACCAATTAGCTTCCTGTGCTACTATGCTGAAGAAAAGATCTTATTTTACCAATACACATTTCACTTATGAAGGTGTGGAAGGCCGAATGATGACCTGCAAAGTTGTCTGCGTCCTAATCCCCAGAATCTACAAATGTTACCTTGCACGGCAAAAGGTATTTAAATTAAGGATCCTGAGAAGGGAAGAGTCTCCTGGATTATCTGGGCGGCCCACTGTAATCACAAGGGTCCTTATAAGCAGGAAGCAAGAACGCCCAAGGCAGCTCAGGTTATGTGAGAAGCAGAGACGATGTGGCCCTGATCCCAGGAACGCAAGCAGCCTCTGGAATGGAGAAGAGGCAGGGAACACACTCTCCCCGGAGCCCCCAGAAGCCACTAGCCTCACTGGCACCTTCTTTTTTGCCCCTTAAAGCTCATTTTGGACTTCTCACCTCCAGAACTATAAGAGCGTACATTTGTGTTGTTTTAAGTCACTAAGCTTGTGATAATGTGTTATAGCAGCAATAAAAAACTAATGCAAAGGTGGCTCGAGGTAAATAAATCATCTTCTCTCAGGGAAAAAAAAAGCAATGACAATTCATATGAAAAGTAACAAGCACGGGATCCAGGACTGTGCACTGTGGGAGAAAAGCAGCACTCTCTAAAGCCAAACACAAGGGACTTCAAAATTCCTTTTTGTACTTACCAGTTATTTGACCTTTAGCAAGTTACTTAACCTCTGAACCTCAGTGTCTGCAGCCATGAAGTGGGAAGAACAACGACAGCTGTGTACGATCCTCTGCAAAAGAAACAGGCAAGCAGGTTTCTGGAACCAGCAAATTATCTGAAACATCTGGCACCCAGTAAATAATGAACGAATCTGAGTCCCCTTTCCTCTCTGTTTTAAAAAATCTAAAATTATTAGATTTCTCATTCGTAGCTCCTGAATTTCTGCTTGGGGGGTAGTGAGTGCAGTATGTTTCTGCTGTAATAGGTTTAGAATCAACAAATGTTTTTGTTGACTATGTTATTCATACAAGACCCTGCACTTAGACTTTGAAAGATAAAACTGTCCTTGGAACCCTGTCCCTAAACACTACAGAGTATGGTCTGATGAGAGATATATACATGTGCAATGAACAAAATGTAGACAGAAAAGAAGTGATGTAAACACGGATCCACAGGACAGAATTATGCCAGTGGCATTTGAAGTGGGCCTTGAAGAAGGGACGTTACTTCCTCAAGTCAGATTTGCTTGAGGAAGTCTTGGACTAAATGAACGGTATATGCAAAGCCAGGGACAGAGGCTGTTCAGGGAGCGGCAAGCGTTCCAGTGTGGTTGGATCTAAGGAGTGTGGGAAGATGATGTAGCATCCCAGCTTCCCTGGCCTGGGTGACTACATGGAAATATCAATATAGAGAGAGGCTGCTAGAGGAAAGATGAGTTATGAGGAAAGAGGGGATAGAAGAAAATGTGTCCAAATTTGGATGAGTTGATTTTGGGAGGCTGGCAGAAGCAGCATATGGAGAGATGCAGTAAGCAGCGAGAAATTTGGAGTAGGTTGAATTATTTTGATTCAAGAGATATGTCTGCCAAGCCAAGTGTCCTTCCTATAAGCATATGAATATGCACTACAGAATATTTTAGAGGCAGCAGCCTTGAAAATTGAAAGGATCACTTGACAGGCTATTTTTCTACCCTAAGAATTGAATACCTCTCTTCCCAGTTATTCTTATTTATGTATCTTGTGAACATCTCACATATATTTACTGTTACTTTTGTTATATATACCTGGTTCAGACAGCATCCAAAAATCCATCATGTATCTCTTCTCAATTATGGCCCACAGAAGTGGTAATTAAGCCTGTATCTTTCCAACACTGGTTCCAACACTTTGGCCAAAAAGTTATTTTGGCATAAACTTATACAAGAGTTCTGAAAGCACTTTCAAAGTAAAGAAAATGCATTTTGAGTTAACTAGGTGTATTAGTCTATTCTCATGCTGCTAATAAAGTCATGCCTGAGACTGGGTAATTTATGAAGGAAAGAGGTTTAATGGACTCACAGTTCCACATGGCTGGGGAGGCCTCACAATCATGGTGGAAGACAAAGCATGAGCAAAAGGGCGTCTTACATGGTGGCAGCCAAGAGAGCTTGTGCAGGGGAACTCCTACTTATAAAACCATCAGATCTCATGAGACTCATTCACTACCACAAACAGAATGGGGGAAATCACCCACGTGATTCAATTACCTCCACCTGGCCCTGTCCTTGACACTTGGGGATTATTACAATTCAAGGTGAGATTTCGGTGGGGACACAGAGCCAAACCACAACACTAGGCCTGCAGAATACCCTGGACTTCATTGCCGTGAATACTTAGACTGTGAATTACTTGTACATTCTTCGAAAACTAGATTGAGTGTGATTAAACGCAAATATTTAATGTTTAGGGCAAATATTGCCTTTTGATGATGGTTAATTTCTCTTTTCTTAAAAACCGTATCTGGCTGGAGTTAACACATTTTTTTAATTTGTTTCTCTTTTCCTCTTCATTCTTGCCACTAGGAACTAAGAGGCCTAGGTCAAAATGACACAAATCTGGCCAAATATTTTGGCTCACTTAAAGTGTCCTGAAATTTTTTAGAGCTGGTGGCTTTCATTAAGCTTTGAGATATCATAATAACTGTAACAACGCTAACTAAACTTTGTTTTCTTTTCCAATATCCTCGAGTAACACTAACTAAACTTTTTTCCTCCTAATACCTTAGAGCATTTGTTGAGAATATCAGGTCATTGTTCTAAGGATGAGAAAACTAACATGAATGAAATATTAGTTTTTCAGTTGCTGCTTTTAACTTTAGAAAAAAATTGGCTGATAATTTATGACTTTCTGATACTACTTCAATGCTTATAAAGGAAAAATTAGTTATGCTGATTATTTATAGAGAGTTCGACCCAAAGGGTCTTTTTAAAAGACAACTTTTGTGTATGTTTTTAAAAGCATCAGACTGAGAGGATTCTAGGAGACAGTGACTGGACTTAAATATTTCACTTTCTGTGCACTCTGAGTGCCAATTTCTCTGCCTTTCCTACGTCCAGTAAATGCTGCGCTTGCAGACACATGAGTATCATTAATATTTTTGGCTCGGAGGACAGCTGAGCTGGGGTCTTTGTCCAGAGTGGTCACATGAGAGGTTGGATACCACCCTGGGCATTCACTGAGCATGGCTCAGAATTTCAGGGATCCAGAGGAATTTGGTTCACCCATGATCAGAGTCACAGTATACAAATGACTGAAAAATAGTCTTCCTGGCCCCAACAACCCAAGGAGAAGTCCTCTACTAGGGCTAAAACCCCTGTCTCCCGGGGAAAGGAGAAACTGAATATACCTGAGTTGGGGGGAATAGCTGCCTCCTGAGGCACCCAGCCAACCCACTATGGAAGAGAATGGTCTACCTTCCATCTCTTGAAGATAACCTCTTAGTGTCTCCTTCAACATACCTTTACAAAATAGACTGGGTGGCTTACAAACAACAGAAATGTATTTTTCACAGTTCTGGATGCTGGCAAGTCCAAGATCAAGGCACTGGCAGATTCTGCAACTGGTGAGGCCCTGCTTCCTCATTGACATCTCACTGTCACCTCACACAATGGAAAAGGCAAGGGATCTCTTTGAGTTCTCTCTTGTAAGGGTAGCAATCCCATTCATGTTGTGGGGAGGGGTGGCACAGAGGAGTGGGGAAGAGAGTGGGAAGCCAAAGAAAATGATCAAACACAAACTGTTCAGGAAAGCAGAGCCCTTGGAAGAGCTAGACCACAACTCTGAGCACTTAGGAATAATCTGGGCAGTTAACAATCAAGCACGTTGCCCAAAGCAACAACAAACAAAGCGTCAAGCACACAAGCATTGTAGGCCTTAAACATCTCCAATAGGTTGTTTGAGGAAGAGAAAGGCAGTGTTGAAATCTAAATTAGTGGACTTAAATAAAGGTGGTTTGTATCTTAAACCCAGATCCAGCATACACAAATGAAAACATGAAGAAAAAGTTAAGAGACCAGGAAGTAAGATCCAAAAGACTAAAATACCAGTAAGGGATAGTCCAGAAATGAGATGGATTTCAATGTAAGAAAGAAATATTAACCACATTTTCAATGAAATCTGTAATTTGAGAATGGGGACAATGAGTTTCAGTGTCGCCTCTGAGGGAGGGGAGTGCAAAGAAGAAAATTCGGGGGAAAAGACAAAGTATTCCTCTGAGTCTCATCTTACGGAGGTAGAAGGAGAAAAGGGAAGTAGTCAGCATCTTGTTTTCAAATAATAGTGGGTAAATATGTGTCTGAATAAGTGTTGGGAAAGGGAAAGCAAACTGCAAAGGAATAGAAAATTACAGAACTTTCAATTAATAAGAAAAAATGGGAGAAGAAAATAGTAGCTTAATGAAACATGAAAAACTAATGAAGAAGAAATATGTAGTGAAATATATACTACCATAAAGGAAAACAAAGGGAACAAAGTCAAGTATTTCAATGATTACACTATCTACGCATAAAAGAACTCATCCCATTAAAGGCTTTAGAGAAGGTTAAGAAACAAAATGGGGCCTTATGCTGCTTACAGAACAAGTATATAAAACAGCAATAAATTTGAAAATAAGGAAAAGGCAATGTGTACTAGACACATGTAAAACAAATCAACAAGGGCGATACTAATGGTATATGGGTATGACTAGTGGACTTTAAGATGAAGAGCATTATAAAAAGATACAATATATTATATTATTATACAAAGTTTACAAACAAAAAATAGTAGCCATAAACCAGTATGGACCAAAATCCTTAGCAAATTTTAAACAATTAAAAATGCAAGGAGAACTTAACAAAAACACAAACTTTGTGAGCATTTTCAATAAACCTCTTTCAAGATTGGACAGATTGGGTAGATGAAAAATAAGTAAGGACATAGAAGAGCTGGAAAATACAGTTAATAAACTTCACTGAATGGATACCTGCAGAGCCCCTCATAGGAAATAGACAAATTTTACAACACATATATTTTTAAATGCGTGTGTGTGTGTGTGTGTGTGTGCATGCAACAATTACAAAAATCCATAGTTTATTTGGGAGAGAAAAGCCTTAACACATTTTTTAAAGTAGAGATTTGACAGGCAACTTTTCCTGATCATAATCAAATGAAAATTATGAAATAATTTGCAAAGAGGTGACCTTCCCAAAACATCTAGGCCCTATTCCCATAGCAAACATTTGGGACTAGCAACATCCATAATCAGAGCAGAAGCAGAAGAGAGGGAGGGAGGAGGAACTTAATATATAAAGAACCAAAGTTCAAACATTTAGAAAGAACAAAAGTTCAAATAATACGAACCTAAGAGAGACTGGATAAAGATAAAAATTGGTGCTAATGAAATGAAAAACAAAAAGAGTAGAAAGTATAATTAAATCTGAAAAAGGCCTATAAAATAGATAAACCCCTCAAGAGCCTGATTTAGGAAAAGAGAAAAAGGAGAATACATCTATTCAAGGTTAGGAATAAAGGAAGTGTAACAAGAGATGCAAAAGAGATTGGTTTAAAATCATGTTAAAGAAATACAACATGCAGCTATGGCAGTCTGTGAAAGTGTAGAGGAAGCCAGGCATGGTGGCTCACACCTGTAATCCCAGCACTTTGGGAGGCCAAGGGGGGCGGATCACCTGAGGTCAGGAGTTCGAGACCAGCCTGGCCAACATGGTGAAACCCCGTCTCTACAAAAATACAAAAAAAAAAAAAAATCTATCTGGGCATGATGGCATGTGCCTGTAATCCCAGCTACTTGGGAGGCTGAGGCAGAAGAATTGCTTGAAACCTGGGAGGCAGAGGTTGCAGTAAGCCGAGATCATGCCAGTGCACTCCAGCCTGGGCGACAGAGTGAGACTCCCTATCAAAAAAAAAAAAAAAAAGGTGTAGAGGAAACGAATGATACATTAACAAAGTGAAAATGGTCTAATAGGTCCCCCGAAATGTGGGAAACTTGAATATAGAAGATATTAGAAAAATATAGAGGTTAATTAAAATACAGTCCACATCTCCTTTGAAAGTCTTGATGGTGCTGCTGTAACCAGTAGGAAGAGACCCTCCACTGATCACACAGCTGGGAGACCGAAGGCTGTCATTTTCCAAGAAATAAGCAGAGGGTGGGGGTTGCTTAGATGAGATTTTCAGGAACTCAGATTTAGAAAATCTAAATTAAAAATCAAATTGGTCTCATTAGAGCATTTTTGAATATATGTCTCATGGCCAAAAGTAAGTCTTCAGAAACATTAAAACTGTGAAAAACAAACCTGTGAAAACCCAGCCTTTTCAGAGCTCTTTCTCAGAATAGCATGCTTTATATTGCTATTGGAATGAAAGAGCATCAATGTTCAGAGATTAAAATGTGTCTCAGTAAATGTGTTTCTAAAAACTTACGGGTAAATCAAAATTTGTTCATTCATATCTTTCCATTGATTTGCATGATCACTGCAACTTTTTCTTTTGAGTTGGCAATGCCTGCTAACATTTTTGTTTCAAATTTCTCTCAGCCCCTGTGTTCATGTAGTTAATAAACTATAAGACGTTTCCACTCATAGTGGCCTCAGCAACCTGTGTCCTGTCTTCTCAATGTGGCTGATTGGTACCATCTTCAGAGACCCCATCTGAGTGCTCCATTCTGCCCAACCTTCCAGTCTTTGAGGAGCAGGTAAACCCCTCACAGACAAACCAACAAAAATCAATCCTCATTCCTCTACTCATTTTCCATTTGCCACTTATCACACCTGACATTTTGCTTTTTAAAATCTTATTATTAAGAACTGGAGTCAAAGGAAAACTCTATCCCCTGCTGTCTTGACAGTCTTCAGTAATTTACTTAGGCTCCCTGAGCCCAGTTTTCACATCTATAAAATTATAAATAATAAAGCCTTCCTTTCGTCAGGTTATTATAAGGATCAAAGTTTAAAAGGAACAACATATATGAAACTGGTTTGCAGACTGTAAATATGACCACTGTACCTCCATCTGGCTTTCTTGAAGGCACCCACAACATTACATGTCTAAAAATGAAGTCATTATCTTCCCCCATCAACTGGGTCCTTTGCTGATTTCCTGTCTCAGTTGATAATGCCACCCATCTACTCTATTCATCCTTGGCTCCTCTTCTCCCTCCTATCTTCCCCATCCACTAGGCCAAGAAGTCTTGTAGATTCTAAGAAATATTTTGAAACTTGAATCACTTTTATGCATCGATAATGTCATTGCTTAAGTTATAGTCTTATCCTCTCTTGGCTAGATTATTGTCATAACTTGCCGAATACTTTTTGGGGGACAAAAGTGAAAGTAACTAACATATATCTGGTAATATCACTAATGCTCTTAATCATCCTATGAGAGATAGTTTCTCATTTTATAGATAAGTAAACTGGGGCTGCAAAAGGTTAAGCATCTTGCCCAAGTTGCACGTGCAAAGTGTATGTCACAGTTGGCTTTGAACTCAGGACTCCACTCTAAATTCATGCTCCTTTCGCTATGCCATGCTGCATCCAGAGAGTACACAGGGCTGTGGCTGCTGCCTCCTCATGAGCTCTGTAGATATTCAGTAGTTATATAAAAGTTTAGGATTACTTTAAATTGAATATTGAGCACCTTCTACCTATGATGATTACTCTACTCCAGGGCTTCTCAACCTTAGCACTATTAACATTTGGAGCTGGATAATTCTTTATTGTGGGTGCCACAGGGGTCATTATAGGAAGTTTCCTCAGTATCACTGGTAGCTATCCATTGAATGCCAATAGCAACCTCCCTACCTTTGTGATAGCCAGAAATATCTGTAGACATTGATAAATGTCCCTTGGGGAGATGAACCAAAACTGCCTCTGGTTTAGAACTACTGCCCTACTCCTAAGGTCTCCTGGTCCTTGTAGACTGTGCTTTTTAACCCACACCTAGAGATGAAGACTCAAGGGCTGCTATAGTCAGAATGTGTGTTCCCCAAAATTTATGCCTTGGAAACTTAATCCTCAATGTAACAGTATTGGGAGGTGTGCCCTTAGGAAAGTGATCGGGTTACAAAGGCTCACCCTCATGAATGGTATTAGACGCGCTTATAAAAGGGTCTGATGGAGGGAGCTCATCCTTTTTTTGCCTTTCTGCCTTCTTCCATATGAGGATGCAACCTTCAAGGTGCCATCTTGGAAGCAGAGACCAAACCTTCACCAGACGCCAACCTGCTAGCATCTTGGCCTTGGCCCTCCCAGCCTCTAGAACTGTAAGAAATAAATTTTGATTCTTTGTAAATTACTCAGTCTGCTGTATCCTGTTATAGCAGCACAAACAGGCTTAGACAAGGGCCAAAACTCCCTGTAGGCAGGGGTTTTACAAAGTCCAGTGTTTGTAGTGGTTTGTTGCTGGTCTCTTTGGTCCTGATATCTGCTTTGGACTTTCCTTCTAGCAAATTCTCTTCCTCATTCATTAGTTCAAATCATTTTGTCCTTGACTCAAAGACTTACTAGGGGACCCACATTGTTTTATAGTTTAGCTTAGTTGTACTACTCTTCTGGGATTGAAATATTTCATCTTGCTTTTCTCATCCTTCAGACATGAGTTGCGATGGTCAGTTTTGGCTGAGTATAGTCCCCAGTTATTCACTCAAATTCTATTCTAGGTGTTACCATGAAGGTATTTTGTAGATGTTAATTAAGTCCATACTTGTTAACTTGAAGTACGGGAGATTATTTTTGATAATCTGAGTGGGCCTGATTCAATCAGTTGGAAGGCGGTGAAAACAGAATTGAGGCTTCCCTGGAGAATAAATTCTGCCTGGGTACTGCAGGTTCAGCTTGTAGACATTCCAACTTCAAAACTTCTCTTCCTGACGGCCCGCCCTATAGATTGTGGTCTTGCTTCACCAATCTACATTGCCACATACACCAGCTCCTTGCAGTAAATCTCTTTTTTATTTTTATATTTATTTTAAGTTCTGCGGTACATGTGCAGGATGTACAGGTTTGTTACGTGGGTAAATGTGTGCCATAGTGCATGGTGCAGTAAATCTCTTTTTTTTTTTTTTTGATTTGGAGTTTAGCTATTGTCACCCAGGCTGGAGTGCAGTGGTGTGATCTCAACTCACTGCAACCTCTGCCTCCCAGGTTCAAGTGATTCTCGTGCCTCAGCCTCCTGAGTAGCCAGGATTACAGGTGCCTGCCACCATGCCCAGCAAATTTTTTAGTAGAGATGGAGTTTCACCACTTTGGCCAGGCTAGTCTCAAACTCCTGACCTCGGGTGATCCACTCGCCTTGGCCTCCCAAAGTGCTGGGATTACAGGCATGAGCCACTGTGCCTGGCCAGTAAATCTCTTAATACATATCTCCTACTGGCTTGTTTCTCTGGTTGAACCTGACTAATGTGTGAGTCTTGCCCATGAAGACCATGACCATGGTTAGGTCCCAGCTATTTGTATTTAGAACTCCCCTTCATTGCCATCCACCTGCCTCTGGCTCTTCACTTGCCCATGAAGGTGAGCCCCGAAGGACCTCTCTGACACCAATTACCTCCCTTCCTGGCTATGCCTCTTGTCATCTACCATGAGATTCCTTCTGATGTCTGCACACCTGTGGGATTGCCTTCTGGTGCCTACACTCTGAATCTGCCCAAGCTACCTCCTCTAAATGACAGGTCTGTCCATTCTCAAGTTTTTTTGCCCCCCCAATCGGCCTAGTCCCACCCAAAACGAGATCCAATTACCAATGCCACATGAATAAATAAAACAAGTTAATTAGAAGTTCCATAGAAAGAATAAAAGTAATAAAAATAATAGGTCATTCAATATATTTCACCCCTGGAAAGGGAGAAAGAACACAGGCAAAGAGGTGACAGTTTTTTGCTAATGTATTCCCACAACCATGGAGAACAGATATGCTATAATCTCATTGACATGCCATCGGGATTGTTCGTAATTTTCCATAAAGAATCACCTGTGCCACCTAGAACAGCAGTGCTCAACCTTTTTGGCACCAGGGACTGGTTTCATGGAAGACAATTTTCCACAGATGGAGGGTGGCAGGGGGATGATTGCAGGACGAAACTGTTGCACCTCCGATCATCAGGCATTAGATTCTCATAAGGAGCACTTGACCTTAGATCCCTCCCATGTGGAGTTCACGATAAGGTTCACACTCCTGTGAGAATCTAATGCCACGGCTAATCTGACAGGAGGCGGAGCTCAGGCCCTAATGCTCACTTGCTCTCAGCTCCCCTCCTGATATGCAGCCCAGTAGGTAGCAGGCTGGAGACCAGTACCATTTCCTGGCCCAGGGGTTGGGGACCCCTGATCTAGAAGTAACTGTGGTTCTCAAAATTTTTATCAACAAAAACAGTAACTGGAACAATATTGCCTTTTCAGTTTCCCAGCTTCTATGAGTAGTAATACTAAAAAAAAAAAAAATCCATTAATGAATGCAACTCTTTAATAAATTAGGTTTATATAAAGTACATTTCATGAAATGGGTTTCAGCTGGGTTGGAGTCTGTACACAGAAGATGAGTGGCCATCCAGAGCTGTGATACTTGGAAGTTGTCCAGGAGGGGTGTGAGGCATCTAGGGAAGAAGGCTTGGAGCAGCTCCTAACTCTGAGGCTCTGATATCCATACCCATGGCTGTGCTTTCCATATCAAATAGGGCAAAGTCTCCTCCGCTGTTCAAGTAATTTATTTCCTAGAACAATTCCGCTTTGTTTTTGGCTGACAGGGTAAAACAGATGAAAAAGAAATTTTATTTTTCTTAAATTATGAAACAAAAGACTCCAATAATTTGGGCTATTTTTATTTCAGTGTCTATTTTCACAGTAGATTAAGTACAAGAAACTTTTTCATATTTTCTTAGTTGCAATGATTAGTGATAATGGGCACGTTTAACTAGAAATTTTCTTTAAACACACACACACACACACACACACACACAGTAGTTTGGGATAAAAAGCCTTCACCCCTCAGCATCAGCTTTGATTGTACTGTTTTCTTTACACCATGTGCCGTGGCTCACAAAAGCATAGGTTAAATATTTGCAAGGAAAACATGCAATCCCATAGCGAAAGCACCACCGCTGTAAATATTTTCATGTTCTAATGGGGGCCTTGGGGTGTTGTTCTAGGAAACAATATCCCTTTCTTATGTGCTAGAGATAGAGAACAGGGGGTTGGGACCTTTACCCTCCCCCACACTGGTTTAGCTTTTTCTTGAATGCCAGTGGCAGCACATGTGGTTCAGAGGCTCATGTTTTTCCCTTATGTATTTTATATCATCGCCTTTTAAAAAATTCTTCCTTCTGTAGAGTTTTAGACCTCCTTCGACACAATCTAAATTTTAAAGGTGCTCAGATGTAAGTGTCTATGTTGACACTTTAAAGAAAAGTGGAATATAGACTGCCATGGTGTTATCTTTATTTCAATTTCCAGGTTGGGCAGTTCTGCCTGTTACTCAAGTGGAATATTCTCTGAGGAATTCCAGAGAGAGCCACTCCTGCCCACTATGGATGGCAGTGCCTAGAGCCCCAGTGCACCAAAGTCCCTGATAGCCACCTTCTCATTTTGCATGCTGGACTAACTGACTTCCCTCTGGTCTTTGCACACATTCTGTGCTTTCTTGCTTTGGTGGCTTTCCTCACCGCATCTCAGTCTGCTAGGATCCCCAGATTCCCCGCTCCTGGCCCTCTCGTCCAGGCATAGCTGAAGTGCCGCTTGCTCCAAAAAAGCCCTCCCAGATTCCACTGGAAGGAAACAATCTCTTCCCCCTTTGAATCCCCTTTGGTGTTTTGTCACAGTTCTCATCTTATATCCTGCGATATAATCCTTTGTCAATAATGAGACTCCTTGAAGACACAACTCCATCTTAATTATTCTTTAAAATTCCACAGCTCCTAGCAGAGGGCTTAGTGCTAGTGAACACAGAGTAAATATTTATAAGTCGAATGAATACATGCATTTGTGGAATATATGAACTTACCTGTTTGTAGCAGCCTTGCTGTATTTGCCAAGAAGTCTGCCTGAGCGGTATTTATACAGCTGCTGTACAGAGAGCTTAAATGAGGTAGCATGTTAAGATTAAAAATAATTTATAGAAAACGGCAATGAGAAGTCACTTTAATGAAATGCATCTCTTGAGGGTCTACTATGTGTAAATTACTCAGAAGATTTGAACCCCAAATGAATGAATAATAATAGTGACTCACACATGGCTAGCATTTTAGTTTCTGTTTAGGCTACTCTGCCATGCAAATTCTTTGGTTCTATTCATACTCAGTTAGACAGGATTAGTATCAACAGGAGAATGTTTGGAAGTACAAGGCAACAATAGATCACGTTTCTATCATTTAACTCGGTTGTTTTGGGTCGAAATGATTTTATATATCTCATACAGAAAATTATTTTGTTCACAATTATTCTATACATTGCATTATATAATGGGAGCTAAAGAACAAGAGAGCTTTTCTTTGGTAAATGAACAGGAGACTAGAGGAGGTGTATTATTTTTGAAACCACAAATGTCACTTCATCAGGTTTCTTTTTTCAGGTCTTTGATATCTTAGGAGATCTTTCTCCCTCCCTCACACCCCCCCACTTCTGGCTGCTCTCCAGAAATTGCTTGTCAGTAGAAATTTGCTCACACAGTGAGATAAAAACCCTAAGCAGATAAATGAACAGAGATAAATCACTTGCCAAGCTAAATGCTTTAATAGTGAGTTTATTACCTCTTGTTTCTTTTTGATACTTTAAAATCCTCAAACTTTGTAATGGAGACTGCATAATTGATTGGAGTTTTTGGTGAAGTATTTGCCGTAAGAGTCACAAAAGTGGGGGATGCTGTATTATAAGCTTTTAAAGGAAACAGACTTATTTAAGGAGAGAGTGTTATTTGTGTAATCCCTACATTTTTGTAATTTCAAAGCTCATATCTGTTGAACTAGCCCTTTACAAAAACTAAAATATAAATAAAAGCTTTATCTATCAAACTAGTCTATTCATTCTCCATATTGTTCAGAATGGTTATTTAGTATATTTTTTCACTTTTCCACTAATGCTGTAAGTTAGGAGATTCAGCTTTCTGTCTTAACTCCACTGCTTAACGTATGACAAGTATGTATGACACTTGCAGAATGTCCTTTGAGGACAAGGTAATAATGTTTTAAAATGAATTTCCAAATATAAGGCATCCACTATTGGCAATTTTGGAGGATATCTTTGCTAGCTCTTAGGAAGTTCTAGGTTTTCCAGGTTTAATTTTGGGCAAATAAAAGGGGAGCTGTACTAATTCTCCTACAAAATTGTAGAAAAAATATTACCCCAGATCCTATCTAAAATGAGTTATCCTATGATTATTAGCTTTAATTAAGAGTGGACATACAATCGTATGTGGCAATGAGAATACGATCTAAAAAAAAGGCGGAGGGAGAAAAAGAAAGATCTCAAAATGCAGGGAATGGATTAATTGAGACAGATGAGAAGCGATTAGCATTTTGTTTCTTGCAGGTGATATTCAGAGTACGAAGTCAAGCATGATAGCGGCTATCTGCAGAGTGCTAAATGCTTCCATTGGAAGGCATGAGTGAAAGCTGGTTATTGAATGAGACTTTTTGGTAACAGATTATTCAACAGTGATTACTTTCTTTAGCCAGAACTGGGATATGTGAGGAACCTCTGAATACATGAGTCTTCTTTTTTTCCAGGATAGACCTTAATTACCTGCGTTGCCTTCTAACACTGTGTCCCTCCACTTCCTATTCCCCTGCTTGTTGTTATTTTGGTCTCTCTCCTCCTCCTCTGTAAAGAGTTGTCATGAAAGAGCTACTGTGGAAGTATGTGAACCATTCATATTGAGATCCTCCTCCCATCCAAAAGAATGGTCTTTTTGAAGTAACTTCAAAACTATTCTATCAATCAGAAATTTGCTTTTTGAGTAGGAGTTACAAAGGCATCAAGAGGAAAATAAGGAAAATAGTCACTTAGATCTCTGTTTTGATTGGCTGAACCCCTTTAAATAATTTATATATGACTGTAATCACAATATTTCTTGCCTGATGAGCTTCTATACTTGAAGCAATGATGGGGGTAAAAACCAATACACTAAGTTGTTGATAGTAACCCCTGGGGAAAATATTTCTCTACTAAAGCATTCTTACTATAAGTATTGAAAATCTGGAAATGTAACAACAAATTGAAATTATGAAACCACTGAAGGAAACTATTGCTTGTAATCGTCGCTGCCTTTCTCACAGCTTGACTCGATGACAGCTTGATAGGTTTACTGCAGTTGGCATTGGATTGCTTTGGCTCACTAAATGGCAGCTATCTCATATGCCCTTGATTGTGCACAAATTAATCAAAGGCTTTTGAAGTGATGGCTTTTGTGTACAGGGAAAACAACATCATTTTAAAAATTGGTGCATCCTAAAAAGATACAGATATATGAAGACACTTACAGTTCCTGCTGAACATGCTGCTCAGTCTTACAAAGGACTTGCAACTGGGAATTTTTCATATTTTTCTAATAATATAATCTATATATTTTTTGAGATGGAGTCTCACTCTGCCACTCAGGCTGGAGTGCAGTGGTGCAGTCACAACTCACTGCAGCCTCCACCTCTTGGGTTCAAATGGTCCTCCCACCTCAGCCTCCCAGGTAGCTGAAACTACAGGTGTGCACCACCACACCTGGCTAATTTTTTTTTTTTTTTAAGAGATGGGTTTTTCTATGTCACCCAGGCTGGCCTCCAACTCCTGGCCTCAAGCAATCCACCTGCCTCGGCCTCCCAAATTGTTGGGATTATAGGCTTGAGTCACTGCACCCGACCAACATAATCTATTAAGAGTGCTAGAAGTATGCTGGTCCAATATGCATATTGTAAGACAGTTCTCTCAGCAAACATTTTTTGGTAGTGATATAGCACTATGTAGAATAACAATTTCACAATCTCAACTGTCCACGTCTAAAACCAGAAAAGTATATATACTTAAATGTCATATTCTTCCCATTTTATATGACATGAAGGGGAAAGGTGAAAAATGGCTAAATCATAACAACATGAGTTGCTGATCAGGCAAGACTTAATATTCAAAGCACCTACAACAATGGAAAAAAATCAAAATTAAGGAAAAATGATCTTCTAATTCACCAGACTCAATATTCAAAGCACCTACAACAATGGAAAAAAAATCAAAATTAAGGAAAAATGATCTTCTAATTCACCAGACTCTATATTCTACTCGGTGTCCTAGCCATGTCCTGGTGGAAAGTAGATTGCTTAGGGAAGCACATTAAGTATTTCCGGCCACCAGGTTACAATGCGTTAAGACCACCGGGCACTCACTGACATTTGAGGACAGACTCAGTCACTGCGCACATCAAGTCCATGTCATTGATAGTTGTGTGAAGTTATGGGCTACCTGTCGCATTTTTAATTCAGTTCTCAGAAATGATAGCAGTGGCCCTACTAGAAAGTGTTCCCAGGTGTCATTAGCATAAGCAACTACAGTAGTCCTACTGGCACTAAAAACTATTTTTAAAAGATTCAGGCTGGACGCGGTGGCTCACGCCGATAATCCCAGCACTTTGGGAGGCCAAGGCAGATGGATCATGAGGTCAAGAGACCAAGACCATCCTGGACAACATGGTGAAACCCCATCTCTACTAAAAATACAAAAATTGGCTGGTTGTGTTGGCGTGAGCCTGTACTCCCAGCTACTCCAGAGGCTGAGGCAGGAGAATCACTTGAACCCGGGAGGTGGAGGTTGCAGTGAGCCGAGATCACACCATTGCACTTCAGCCTGGGTGATAGAGTGAGACTCCATCTCAAAAAAAAAAAAAAAAAAAAAAAAAACAGAGAATAGTTGACATTAATATTTTTTCTCTAAAACTAGTAAGAGAAAACTAAATCAGGTCTTTCCCACCATTTTATTGGTATAGAAATAGAAGTACAGGGATTTGGAAGGTATTCCAAATTGTAGTCCCACTGAAGGAGATTAGGAAAGGCATTATTAATTTGGAATTTGGATATTTGGTAAACTTCAGAAAGGAAATTAATTTCACAAATGTAATGCCAGATTCTATTGACAGTAAAATACCCTCAATCACAAAACACAGTTAACATAAGTGTACTCAAAAGAACAAAAAGATTCAATTTGTAAATATTCCTATTTTTTACATAAAATGTGGTGAACATATGCCTTAGAACTGGATGAATATGGTGATTTGGAGATTCAAGACCAAAACTGTTTATTTAGAAATGGCTTAAACAGACTCAATGAAAAAACCAATTCCTCCTTAAAGTCCTTCTGTCTTCTTCACTCCCGCTTTTTGATATCTGCATCGTCACATTTCTTATGGGGGACTCTCCAGAGTATATTCTAATAGTGACCCCAAAACCTAGCGCAGGACCAACACTTGCCAACTCGTGCATGTTTTAAAGAGACCCATGCAAGAAAAACAATGAACTTAATAGAACGTGAATCTTTTTTTTATGTAAACATCCAGCACAAATTTGTTAGTAGTGGGTTTATTTTGTAAATAACTATAAAAGCATTCCAGTTACATATATTTATTCCTATGAAGCCATAACTTGTAATAAAATTTCCATAAGAATGATGTGTATTCACAGTGGATTACTAAGTTAACCTTGAAATGAATAGTTATCTGTAATTATTTGATAACTAAAAAAAAATAAGCCGGAGAAAAAGTGGCCACTAGTTATTTAACAAAGAAAAACAATTGTTAGATGTTGGTAGCACTATCAATGATAAGTGTTAATTTTCTGGTCATCAGTAGTAAAACTATTAAGGTAACATAATTAAAAGGTGTGACGGGATCAGGATGTAATTTATTTGTCTCACAAAGTTTCTGGATTGACAGCTCCACTTGTTACAGATCCAGGCGTGAAAGCATTTCTTTCCCATCTCATGTCAGTCAATCTCTAGATAAATTTGAATCCCTACTAAGCACCAGGGCCAGGGCCTATCTTCTGAGGCCATCAGCAAAGTGGCTATTAGGATTTCTCATTACTACATTCCCAGAGGGGTTTAAAAGAGGAAAAAAGGCAACCAGCGTTTTGTTGATTATTACTGTAAAGCAGCGAATCTTAACCCTAGCTACACATTAGAATCACCCAGGGAGTTTTTGAAAAATACAGCTGCCTAGGCCACCCCCAGAGGTTTGGATTTAATTGGTATGGGGTGAGATCCCGGCAAAGGTATTCTTTAAAAGCTCCCCAGACGATTTTAATGTGCAACCAGGGTTAAGAGCCACTGCTCTAAAGGGAAGATAAAATTTGCAAATTCTGTTGTTCGTCCCCACTGAAAGTGGAAAATTTTAGCCTTTCTTAGATATTCCTCTTCTTTCCCAGGAAAGAAGTGTGGTGTTGCAGAAATGGCAAGAATTCAGAACCAGGAGGCTATGCTCTGATTTCATCTCTGTCATTTCCTAGCTGGGTGACACCAGACAGGGAGTCCTATAAAGCAGGAGTCGCAATAATTCCTCTTTTCCCTACCTTCCAAGGGGCAGAATTCAACAAAACAAACAAGGTCATGTACAGGAAAGCCCTGAAATGGGAAAGCTGTTGTTAGTCTCCCAACTGATTGTGTCTGTTAGCGCTAATTGGTAACACCTATCGATTAGTGCTAACAGATGGTGGGAGACAGGGGTAACTCTTTAAGATCCGTATTGGTGATTCGTGAAATATAATATACTTTGTAAGATTTTTCCCTCTCCCTGTTAATTCAAGGCACATCTATTTGCAAAGAAGAAACAAACTATGTAGAGTTCAGGTTCACCTCTGTTCTTATCTGCAAACAGTCGTGAGCAGTCGGCAGAGCCAGAAGCCAGCGTGGCTCCGTGTACCACCGGAGGAGCCTAAAAGTAGCTCACACAAAAGATTTGCATACACCAGCACAGCGCTTTTCTGCTAAAATGCCCACTTAGCACATGCAACAAATTCTTTGTTGATGTGCCCTCCTCTACAAAGAATAATCCAGTTCAAGCAATGTCTTCTGAAGCTCTTGCCTCCCTGACAGTCACGATTTGCAAACAGACTATCATTTCAATCATTGGTTCTTCGGTGAGACTGAGTGGGTGACCCACAGCTCACCAGGTTCCACGGCTGAGGGAGGAACCCTGTGGCAGATGCTTCACCCCAGGTATGAGGCAGTCGGAACCAGGTAAGGAGAGCAGGACGATGCCTACCAAGCAACAGTCTTTTATAGACAGAGCAGCTGTGAGAGTCATTGTTGCAAAGTACTGACAGGCTGTTTTCATGTTGATCATTTTCAAGTATGAAAACAAAACAAGAGAGGCCAAGACAGGGCTTGTGACTGGAACAGTAGTGGGAACCAATTCATTAAAAAAAATGATCTCTTCCTCTTCCTTCTCAGTAAGGGATATCATCTTCCGTATTCATGTCCCCAGCCTGGCTTCCAGAAAGAGAGTTCTGCCTGCTTGGAAACTGGTTTCTAGGAACTGAGGTTTCTTCCTTGACCCTTTTTGAGCGAGGAGAAAAGGCAGAGCTGTTTTCTCTGACTAAACCAAACTTCCATAGTATCCTGATGAATGCCCTGGCTCCAGGAGGGGAAGCTGAAGCCAAGCTGCCCCTGCCACGTGTGGGCTTTGAGGTGCTCCTTCCCTTACTGCCAAGGTTGCCGTCTCCTCTGCCGCCCCTGACTGCGGCACCATCCTGGTGAATGGACTCTCTGATGGCCCAGGCCAAAGGCTTCCACACCAAAAAGCCCCTTTGCTTTTCTCTGGGGTTTGGAGGATGCCAAATAATATTCCTTCTTCTTTCTTTCAATACTAGTGGCATTTGTACAGTGCTTTACTGTTTACAAAGCCCACTATTTGCATAAATCTTCAAAATATCCCAATGAAGTAGCCATTATGATTCTATTCGATCAATGCTGAGATTAAGGCTCAAAGAGTTCATGTTTCTTGCCCAGGATTACACACTGTAAATGACAAAACAACACTTGAACCCAGGATTTCTTTTTTTCTTCTTTTTTTTCTTTTTTTATAAGATGGGGTCTCACTCTGTTGCCCAGGCACTGAGAAAGTGCAGTGGCACCATCTCAGCTCACTGCAACCTCCACCTTGCAGGTTCAAGTGATTCTCCTGCCTCAGCCTCCTGAGTAGCTGGGATTACAGGTGTGTGCCACCACACCCGGCTAATTTTTTGTATTTTTAATAGAGATGGGGTTTCACCATGTTGGCCAGGCTGGTCTTGAACTCCTGACCTCAAGTGTTCCACTCATCTCGGCCTCCCAAAGTGCTGGGATTACAGGAGTGAGCCACTGCACCCATCCCCAGGATTTCTAATTCTAAGTTCCATTGTCCTCCCATGATACCACCCTGTCTGTCAGGGACCCCCTCTGGTGACACACTTGCTACCCTGTGTGCATTGAGGTGCCGTCACCACCCCAGCCAAGGTGACATGGACCCGTTGCACTGCTCTCATTCATCTCACAGACATAGGGGAGACAGTACTTTAAATCACACGCACACAGGCCTTCTCTTAAACAGGGTCTTTGAATTCATGTGGTGACTTTTTGCTTCACCTTAAATTGTTCACTAAAATTAGATCACGAAAGAGTGAATTATTTCTGTCTTTACATCTGACACTATCACTGTTAACAAACAGCCACACTGGATGCTTCTCAGTTATATTCAGAACTTCTGAAATGTTCCTGTTTTCTAGATTTTACAGTGTTTCAGGAAGTGCAGCAACTATAATGATGTTTCTGTCTAAAATGTTGTATTTGCTAGGTGCTGATACCTGGATAGGAATAAAGAGATATATTGATGGGGCTAAATATGTGTTAAAGGGGATGACCTGCTGTTGACTTCAGACAGTTCATTGGTAAAATTGCAATAGTTTGGGGTTTGGTCCTGAACTTCATATGTGTAGAAACTCAATGTAGTCAATCGGCCTAAAGTTGATCAGGTTTAGGAGAACGAACTCACTCTACACAGATGCTCATAATATTGATTGGTAAATGAAAAGGACAGTCTCACTCAACAAATGATTCTTGCCTAGATGCTGCCCAATAGGCTCCAGGCGAGGTAGGGAGGAAAGTGTAGCAGATGCTGCTGAACCGCTCTATCCCATCCCCTTCCCATTCAGTCCTCCCATGTCCCAGTGCCAGCCCCTACATTGCCCACCCCACAGGAGCAAGCCTCCAGCAGTGCTGATGGGAGTGGGAGATGACTAACTCTCAGGTTCTGCACCAGCCCCTGAGTTTCCCCAGAGTGAGGAAGCTCAGTCCCCATGGTGGGAGCTGGTTTGGTTATTTGCCTGCTCATGGTTACGTTCTCTCCTTTAGCTCACGTCCCCACTTACCTACCAGCAGTTCCTTCACCTTCCAAATTAAGTACTTGCTCTTGAGTCATGGTCTCGAGGTGTGCTTCTGGGGTCCCTGGAGACCAAGGCACAGTGCTGTCCTTCAAGGATCTAGCAGGAGAGAGAAAAGCACACTAGTAATTCAGACACTGGGTGACAAGTTCTCCACCCAGTGGAAGCAGAGGATGTGATGGAAAAATGTGGAAGAGCACCTGAGTCTTCATAGAAAGCTTTCTGTGTGAGCTTTTCAAGAGTGCTACGTTTAGGTGGAGGGAATTTTCACTGTAGATATTTTCTACAAGAATTGTTGCATCCTGCTTGCTGCTGCTGCTTTTTTTGTTTTTTTGTTTGTTTGTTTGTTTTTGAGCAGAGTCTTGCTCTGTCACCCAGGCTGGAGTGCAATGGCACAATCTCTGCTCACTGCCACCTCCCCATCCCGGGTTCAAGTGATTCTCCTGCCTCAGCCTCCCAAGTAGCTTGGGATTACAGGTATGTGCCATCATGCCCAGCTAATTTTTTTAGTATTTTTAGTAGAGATGGGGTTTCACCATGTTGGTCAGGCTGGTCTCAAATTCCTGACCTCAGGCGATCCACCCACTTCAGCCTCCCAAGGTGCTGAGAGTACAGGCATAAGCCACTGTGCCCTGCCCCAGCTTGCTTCTTCTGCTCGGTCTCTCTAGCCTCAGTTTTCTCACCTGTAAACTAGGGGAAATAACATCCCTCAGAGTAAAGAGACAAAGATTGGGTTATATTATGTTATATAAATTGCCTTGCTGTGTGCCTGCCACACAGTAACACCTAACACTGTTTAATTAGTTTGCCCTTCCCAGATGGACTGAAATCTTTAACCACTTGATAGTCCTGGAGAGTCTCCTGTCCAGCTTGATCCCGTCACCAAGTTTCCTGAGTGTAGGTCGCTCCTGTAATGTTAAGCTTATCTACGCTGACTGAAGTTTTTACTATTTTCAGTTTCAGAATGACTCTTCCCTAACTGTGTGCCTAAATTCTGGGGGACTTTTTCCTACAACTTCTCATACACATAGGTAGCATTTCAATTAGACACCGGCCTCATCAAAGTAAAAATAATCTTATCATCTTAAAAATCTTTCTCTCTTTCCAACCCCCAAAAAACTGGTTTTTCATAATTCATGACAATGTTTGTCTAATTTAATATAATTGACACAGACAAATAATCAATTTTTCATTTTGTATATTGTTTAAAAATAGATTTACTATGACTTACAGATAATTCTTTAATTCTTATCCTTCACTTCCCACAAATATTAAGATTTTATGATCAAATTTTGTACTTTTTGGGCTTACATTTAAAGATTGCAAAAAATTTTGTTTTTGGTAATCTCTTGATTAGCAGTGTCTCTTTTGAGGTGAGTTTGTCATCTGCATGTATTATTCTAATAAGTCCACCTTTGAGAGTCATGGAGTTCTTATTTCTCCAGTTTTATTTCGGCTACAGAAGTTAGAAAAGCCAAATGGTTTATTATTTAATATTGTTGCTATCAGATGTTTAACCCTGAAAGCATTAACCTATCATTTTAATTAACATTGCCTATGTGCCAAAAAAAAAAAAACCTGATTTTTTAGAGTTATAAAAGACTGGACATAAGGGAATTTTATGTGTACTGTAAAAAATTAAAATAAGCTATCTAGTCTTTTTAAAAGATCACTGACCTTAATTTTCACATTTTGAAAAAAACTAGGAATGTTACAAAAATCTGATTTCAGAAACATCAATCACAGGACACTAGCTAACAAAGAACAAAGCTTTGTAGAGAACAGATTCTGCAGGAGTGATTGAACCAATCAAGCAGTATTGCTTGTGTTGAAACCAGCTAATATGTAATCAGTTACACAACAGACAAAATATGGACTATTAAGATGATATTACCATGGGTGAAAAGGAATTTACTAGGAGCAATACACTAAGAGTCCAAAAAGATCCCAGAGTTAATTCAGCACACTCTGTGTCAACCCTGCATGAAGCATCAGGGAATATACATCTATACAGTAATATATATATATTACATTGTGTGTGTGTGTGTGTGTGTGTGTGTGTGTGTGTGTGTGTGTGTGTGTATAAAATGTAAAAGACCCAGCTCCTGCCCTCAGGTCATTCACGGTATGGAGAAATTCGGAGGAACAATAGGAAGCCATAGGTAATTATATGGGAGGAAATTACTGAAGTGCACAATGTGTTTCGTGTCTGCCATACCACATTATGAACTCAGAGTGGAGACCACGGTTTTCCAATGTGTTTATGTTCTCCACAGTGGGTCCCCAAGAGCTGCGTACAAGGCAGATTAAAATATATCGGAAAAAGACCTGAAACAATGAAATAGGAGACTTGCAATGTGGCCAATTTTTTTAAAAGCAAATCTGACTTCAGCGTGTGTTAATAAGATTACAATATGCAACAGCTGGGTTTCTTTTGTTTCCCTGCTACAGAACCTAATTCTAACTAGCTTAAAGCATAAGAAAACGGGCTCGCCAAAATGGCAACACGGGAGGAAGGACGGGGTTTCAGTGTTCTATTAGCCTAGTAACTGGATCCATTTTTCTGCAATCCTCTTAGCTCTCTCCACCTCCATAAACCAGCAGCTGGCTATTTCCAGGCTAAATATCTATGACACATCTGCTTCTATGGCTAGGAAGTATCTACCGTCTATAGATACGCTAAGAGACTTGCTTCAGCTATTTCTTGCAGAGGAGAAAGGAAAGATAAACTTTCCAAGATTCTCCTAGGAAACCTTTCCTCACATTCTTGGATCCTGACGAGTCACTCGCTATTGGGATGGAATTACTTTTAAATCAATTGAACCGCCTTGGGGCTGGTCGAGGATTAGCAGGAACGGGGTGGCATTCCTTGAGATGAGCGGGTTGTGTGGGGGGCAGCCCAGTGCCTGAAGAGAGTGAAATGAACCCCGTGGATAACCAACAACATTCACTCAAGCATGGAAGGACCGTGCTCCAGAAGATGAGGAATCTTTACCAAACTAGTGGTGGACACAATCACCCTGAGTGTGACCTGGACATTGGAAAAACAGATGTGAGCAAGCAAAAAATAATTGAGAAACACAGAACAAAACAAACTCAGTAACATATTCTAGGTCTGAAAGAACTGAGATTGTGTAATCTAGAGGAGGTCTGAAAGAACTGAGAATGCGTAATCTAGAGAAGGGAAATCTTATACCAATATTCTTATATTGGTATAAGAATAAACTTCCCGACAACAGAGGTGATAATTCCAGGAGAGGCTATCAGAGATCACTGGCGCTGGCATCTCCTTCCCTCTCCTGATCCTCAAATCTCAAGTGAGTTATCACTAGCCCGGTTCATTCCAGCTGTCAAATCTCTACCCTCCTCATCCTCTCATCCTCTTCATCCATACAGTCACAGCTTTAACTCAGGCTACCACTTACTGTCCACGGGGCTATCACAGTAGCTTCCTTACTGTACTCTGCCTCCAACCTCTCCATGTTATCTGGAAAATGCTGAGTTATCTAACTAAAACAGGGGGGCAGGGGAGCATGTCGCTGCCATGCTTAAAACCTCTGATTAGTTTCTAGCTGTCTTCAGGATAAAATCCAAACTCATTTCCAAGGCTACTCAGGCCATTCAAATATGGCCCCACCTCTCCTACTCCACTTCTTTGACATTCAGTCATGACAAATTCACACCTTTAACTGAGGGGGAGAAGACCCTGCTTTTAGACCTTCCTGCATTTCATTCTGCTCTCTGCTGTTCCTCTATGCCTATCTACTTCTTCTCTGGAAACTTTTTTTTTTTGTTCTCCTTGACATAATTAGTCACGTTCTTAACAACTTGCACTGACCCGTGTATTAAATGAGATTGGAATTACTCGGTAATATGTCTCTTTTCTCTGTAGCCTGTTGGCTTCTCAAGGACAAGGGGTGTCCTGCTATCATTTCTGTCTACCTGGTTCCTAACACAGCACCTGGCACTTAGTTGAGAACTTATTAAATCTTGCTTTCAAAATTTGACTCATTAATTAAGGCAACTCCAACTTGGAGAATGTTAAAGTGTGGCTTTTTATTTTAAGTCAGTTTTGGATGTTTTAAGGAAAAGACCAATTGTATTCTCCATTGACGTGCATTTTAGATTCATACATGCAGCAGGAGGAAAATGAGACTTACGAGAAAAAATAAATTTGCTAAAAAAAAAAAAAGAAATGAAGAAAGAATGGAAGGGGATTTTTTTGGCCCATAGCATTTGTCCCTATTGCCTCACTCTTGGTGGTTGCTTGACAACTTCTTATTGAATGAAACCTTTTATTCTCCAACTCAGACATATGGCATTTTCAACAACACATTTTGTGTCATGTTTGTTTGTTTTACACTAAAGAGAGATGCCCAACTTATTCAACTAAATCTGTAAGGAAGTCTTATGCTGCTATTTCAAATGCATTGTTTTCCTGTCCTGTCAGTCACAAACCATTTTAAAATATGGGCTTAATCACCAGTATTCCAGGGGGCTTACCGCATAAGGGAGCTGGGCTGCAGGAAGGCTCAGAATCACAGCAAGTGTGTGTCTGGGCTCATAGGCGCCAACTGGCATACGAGCAGCCTCCAGCTGGTATGCACCTGCACCTGGGATCCCACCTCACCAGGACAAACTCAAGTTCCTGCCCTCAGCCTGGGCATGGGGCGGGGGAAGCGGGGAAGGAAGCGTTGGCCTCCTAGCCAACCTGAGAGTGATCCTGTCATGCGTTCGTACACCAACCGCTCTTCAAGAGATGGAAAGTCAGGCACGTGTTTATCCTTTTGATTGGAGAACAACGGCCTCACACTATTCTACAGCCAACCTGTTGGGGACAGATTTGGGGGTTGGTCTAGGAGTAGATTACTAAAAATAGGAGCTCTAAAGAAAAGGATGTCTTATTCCTGTTGTTAATTTTCAAGTGCCATTTTTTTCCATCCTAGTAGGTTCAGAAAAACTAGTAATTTGATCATTATCTAAACAGAAATCAACATGAGGAGTTCTGTAATATATTTTTTTAAATGTCCTTTTTGACTGAGCATTCTGCCTCAGGAAGGACAGACACAGAAGTGTGGAGGGGAAGGGGGCACCCAACAAGCCAGTAAGATCAGTTGAAAAAACACTAGTGATCCGTGGGGTGGCTTGTCAAAGCCAGGTCACCCTCAAATTCTAAAATGTGTCCACCATTAGGTCACCTTTATGAATTAATTTATTTTGGCCTCAAGAAACTGAACTAGATTTTCAAATTCGGTCTGTTAGAGAAGGGTTATATGTACTCTGAGTATTCACTCCCATATGGATTAATTTTATTAATAACTAAATTTATCTAACCATGGTCAACCTATGGTTACATTCACAAAACATTCATATACCCTATTGATATTCTAATGTTGGTGCTAATTTCTCATTTTGAGCAGAATACCAAAGTTTCATTTTCCAGTTTATATATTGGCCCTTCATGGACACATATTTACACTTGTTAGTGAGTTAATTTCACACATTTAGACTTCAACAGTCATTAGTGTCATAATGATCACAGTAATTACATGAATAATGAGGCTTGAGTGATCACAAAAAGACAACTTACCGCAAGTGATGAGCAAAGTCAACCACTCTTGGCGACCAATGTAATCATTTCCAGGTTGCTTGGTATGAGTCAAAGACGTTTTCCTGTGATTCAGGAGAATCTATTGCATATTCAGCTAAAATCTGACAGGTCTAATGATCTAATACTCCAGTTATTTAATGAAGAACGTGATGAGGCTTGCATGTTTACCAAACCTTGGTGTTTTTTAGTTATCGGCAGTAAGACCATTAAGGTACATAATTAAAAGAATTAAAAAGATGTGCATGTAATTGACATAAATACTACAAGTTATCTTATTCAGTAGCCAGTAATTACATTTGGTTAATTGTCTGATTAAGAATGCAACAGTGGGAACATTTTTTTTTCTTCCAAAGAGGTTCTACTTTCAGGAATCTATTCTAGGTGATCCCAAACCCTTGGTCATTTTGACCTTGGTAACTACGTTTGCCTGTCTCCCTATTCTGTACAGTTTTTGACAGTGGGGAGGATATGAGTGGTGGACATCTCTGCTCATTGCAGCCTAAGTCCTATGGGTACTACCTGATGGACTGCGAGCTCCTTGAGGACAAAAGTGACTCTCATCAATCATTCTCTCCCCAGAATCTTTTCCAATACCATTCTGATCATGTTTGCTATACACTGTTTTCATACACACATGCACACACACACACACACACACACACAACTTCCCCTTTATAAATTCTCTGGGTAATAGGAATTCTAGTCAAAATACTCATATTCTTACTGAATTATTTGAGATACTAGTCTGTTTTTAAAATGAAATTATAGCCATTTCTAATTTCATATACAGACACCACTCTCCACCCCTACCTCCAGTTCATGGCCTTGTGTAATGCATCACAGCATTTAAACTTCTTAAATAATATATTTTTTAAATAATACATTTGGGTCTTTCATTAACCTGGAATTGGATTTTGCATGTTGTGTATGAGGGATGGGTTCAATTTCTTTTTTCATATGAATGACTGATCATGGTATCATTTATTAAAAGTTCATCCTTTCCTCATTGATTTCCAATACCACCTTGACATTTATCGCTTGTTCAGCTACACATGCGTAACTCAGTTTCTTGGATACTACTCTATTTCATTAGTCAGCTTATGCCAATATCACCGTGCCTTAATAACTTTAGCCTCACTGATAAAGCCAGTGCCCTCCCATACTGTTCTTCTGAACAATTTCTTGGATATTCCTGGGATTTTGCACTTCCGTATGTATTTCAGAATTAATGTGTCAAGTTATAAAATTTAATAAACGTTCTTCTTTGGGGGAGGGTAGGTTACACTAAATCCATAGTTCAATCTGAAGGAAAATTGATACCTTTAAAATACTGAGTTTACTAATCCATGAATATGGTTCATCTTTTTTATTTATTTTAATATCTGTTAATAAAGTTTTATGATTTTTCTGTAACAGTCTTGCTCACATTTTATTATTCTTAAGAACTAAATTGTTGATGCTATTGTGAATAGTGTATTTTAAATTTATCTTCTGTTCAGAAGAACAGAAAATGCAAATAGTTTTAAATAATCACTTTCTTGCAAATGTACTTACATTTCTTATTAATACTAATGGTTTATCTTCATATTTGAAGACATGTAGACTATCATATCATTTTTTTTAAATAGAAAGTTTATTTTTTCCTCCCCAATTTTTAAACTAGTTTTTCTTTCTTGTCTTAGCAGACTGTCTATGGTCTCTAACATAATATTGAATGGAAGTGGTATTGAGAGCCACTCTTAGAGTGATCTCAGAATATTTTAAATGTTTTACTGTTTTGCATCATATTGTCCTTTTTCAAAATACTTCTATTCCTAGTTTATAAGAGTTTTTTTCATTATGAATGAATATTACATTTTATCACAGGCTTTTTTCACATTTATTAAGTTTATTTTTTTCTCTTTAACTATGGATGTGTTGAATTACATTCGATTTTCCAATGTTAAATCAACCATGTGGAACTGTCATTAATTGCTAGACTGTGCTGCATTTGATCATCACCATTTCAATTAAAGCAATCATTGCTGCATGTCCAACAGGTTTCAGCAAGGGACCTATGCTTATTTTAGTCATTCCAGGATCTGAGCTGATGGACAAACCACCTTGATACACATGCCTCCACGTTCATCATCGCATAGGAGCAGATGATCAAAAGAAAGATCTTTCTGTGGCAATTGAGTGTTCTAGCCCAAAAGTGGCTCATAACACTTCTGCCCACAGCTGTTTTGCCAGAACTCCTTATATGGAAGTGGGGAAAATGAAAGTCTACCATGTGGCCAGGAGTGGGGAAACCAGTATAAGAAAACCTTAGGGACAAGCATGGTGGCTCACGCCTATAATCCCAGGATTTTGGGAGTCCGAGGCAGGCAGATCACGAGGTCAAGAGTTTGAGACCAGCCTGACCAACATGGTGAAACCCTGTCTCTACTAAAAATACAAAAATTACCTGGGCGTTGTGGTGCACGCCTGTAATCCCAGTGACTCAGAAGTCTGAGGCAGGAGAATCACTTGAACCCAGGAGGCGGAGCTTGCAATGAGCAGAGATCGCGCCACTGCAACTGCAGCCTGGGCAACAGAGCAAGACTCCATCTCAAAAAAAAAAAAAGAAAGAAAGAAAGAAAGAAAAGAGAAAGAAAACCTTAGAAGCCTCTAGCAGATTTGCATTTCTAAAACAACTGCACTTTGTTGTAAGAATTACATTTCTATATGTTACTGGATCTCCTGCACCAATATTTGATTTAGGATCTTCTCGCCTACATTCATGAATGAAATTGATCTGGTAATACGCTTTTTTGCCATGTTTTGGCATCTAGAATTTGCTCACTTCAAAAGAATTGATGTGTTAATATACTTTTTTGTCGAGTTTGGGCATCTGGAATTTGCTGACTTCATAAAATGGGTTTGAGACTTTCTCTTCTTTTTTACATTCTGGAATAGCTAGTATAGAATAGGAGCTATTTGTTATTTAAATGTATGGTAGACCAAACTTGTAAAAAAGACTAGGCCTGGAGTTTTATTGACAGGAACAGATGAAATTTTTTAGAAGCTTGACAATATTAAGAGTTTCTATTCTTTCTCAAGTTAGTTTGATAAGTTATACTTTAGGAATTTGTTCATTTCATGAGTTTTCAAATTTATTGACAAAAATGTATTCGTGTGAATCTAATATTTATAGCATTCTTATTTTTAAAATTTTAATGTTATTTCTTTTCTCTTTCTTTTTCTTTTTATCCTGAAAAATTGCTAGGAGTTTGGCAATTTCATTAGGCTTTTCAGTGAAAAAATTGTTGGCTTTATTGATTCTCTCCTTTTGTTTTCATTTTTATTTTACTTCTGCTCTTTATTGTCTGTGTTTCTCTCTTATTTTGTTGTTATTTTTGTAACTTCTTAAAAATGCATGTTTTATTTATTAATTCTTAGTCTTCTTTTCTAATATAAGCATTTATGACTTTAAATTTTCCTCTAAGTATTTTTCAACTGCATTCTACAAGTTTGGGTAAATCGGTAATGAAATTTGGCTATTTCGTTTTTGTTCATTTCTCATTTTTTCTAAATCCCATTATAATTTCTTTTTTGACTATGAGTAATTTAGAAATAGATTTCTTAATTTCTAAACATATGGGAAAGTTCTACTATCATTTTTATTATTTTGTTTTTAATATTTTAAGATAATTTTAAATCTATAGAAAAGAAGAATAATATAAAGAACTCCCACTTACCCTTCCCAGACTTATAGTTGTTAGCTTTTATATCTTCTCTCTGTCTGTATGGGTGTCTATGTGCATATATGTATTGAGGGTATATATATATATATATATATATATATATATATATATATACACCTATATACATATATATATACATGTATGCCTATATACATATACATATATTTTGTGTGCATTGATATATATATCTATATATATATACAAAATACATTTTATATAATATATAATACATATGATATATACTATTATATACACACACATGCTCATATGTGCCTTTAAAATTAGCCTTGTTGAGGGTGTGCAGGTAGTAAACTTACACTTTCTCAGTTTTTGTTTGGAATTCTTTATTTCATCTCAATACTTTAAAAAAATCGAATTTTAGATCGAGAAGTTTGGGGGTGCTTTTTCACTATGCATAATGAATATATTATTATATATTATCATCTTCTTTGGTCTGTTGTTTCTGATGACAATTCAGGGGATATCCTAACTCTTGCTTGTATGAAGTTAATCTGTCTTTTCTCTCTGACTACATTCATGATCTTCTCTTTGTCTTTAGTATCTTGCAGTTTCACTAAAATATGCCTAGGTTTACATTTCTTCTTATGAATCTTTCTTGTATTTCACTAGATTTCTGGAATAAATTGATTGACGTCTTTTCAATAAGTCTGAAAAAGTTTAGCCATTATCTCTTTAAATGTTGCTTCAGTCATTTTCTGTCTCTTCCTCTTCTTCTGAAACTTTAGCAAGAAGTATGTTATACTTTTCCACCTTATCTTCAAAGTCTCTAAACTTCTCTTGCATGTTTTTATTGCCTTTTGTCTCAGGAATCAAATTTTTATATACATAAATATTTTACTGTTTTCTAAGTCACCTGTTTTTTCCTTAGGTGTGTCTAAACTACAGTTCAACTTATCAGCTAAATTTTTCATTTTCTTTATTACACATTTATATTGAAAGTTCTTCCCTTGATTTTTTCTTTTTGACTTTTTGAGACATTTTAGTATACTTATTTAACATTCTGTGGCTGATAATTTTAATAAGCGAACATTTTATGGGTCTAAATCTGCTGTTTGGAACTTCTACTGGCTTTTGCTTATGACATCTTGTTTACCTTGTGTGTTTTGTGATTTGTTTGTTTATATAAACCAGATTTCTCAGGAGTGAGTGTATTTGTTTTTGAAGCACTACCAGTCTGAGTCTACTCTAAACTAAATACTATTTTGAGGTTTTTGAGTAAGCCTCAAAATTATGAATTACGGACAGTAGGCTGCAACTGTTGGTGAGGTCTGGCTTATAACTATGAATTACTAGGGTACGTTTCCAACCTTATTCCTGTTTAATTCCAACATATGATATAGAGTATTTTTCTTGCAGTCTTCTGGGCAGGGGGTTATTTTTCATTTCCCTTGATGCTAATTATTTACCCCCTTAGGTGCAGGTTCATGGACAGGAAAGGTTCTCCTATTAGAATACACACATGGTATGAGCCATGGGCTTTGAACCCCTCTACTTCTAGAAGATAGGAGAACACAAATGTCAAGATCACAATCTAGACACATGCTCCACAAAGCAAAATCATAACTTAATGTTTCAGTTACTTTGCTGGTTTCCACTTGCACTCAGTCACCAGCCTGAGTATTTTCTGCACTGACTATATTTGAAAGAGGCTTATTCCTTTGTCTACTTTTTTAAAGTTTTGTAAGTTTTCTAGCAATCCATGCTGTTTTAGGAAATGTCAATGCTTTGTAGGTTAATAGGCATTTTAGTTCAATCAGGGTTCTCCTCTGAATTTGGAGAACCTATAAGTAAGACTAGAATTGGAATAAAATATTCTTATGGGATGTAGATATATGTGTATAGGGTCTTAAATCTATGCATTTTCAGTTGAATATCTTTGTCTGTAAAATTACCTTCTATGATTTGATCCTTTGTGTCATATAATAAATACTCTTCTTTTTTATTAAATATATTTTCTTAAAACAATTTAAAATTCAGGGACAGTAATTTATATTCTCTCTTATTTGGCTCTATAAATATTCACATGTTAAAATTGCATTTTCCAAAGTGTACTAAGGATCAATTGCATCAGAGCATCTTGGAGAGGTAATTAAACATGCCTATTTCTAGGTCCCTCCTCAGGCCTGCTGAATCAGAATCTCTCATAGTAATGCCTGCAATCTCCATTTTAAATAAATAATGCTCTTTGTTCCCATACATCATCAAGTTTGAGAATCATATGCTAAAATTTATTTTAGAAATGCAGATTTGGTTTTATGTATTTGTTTTCTGGCACTTACGTGCTTTTCTTTCTTTATAGTATTCTTCTGACATTTCAGTTTTCTTATATTTTTGGGTGTTTAAATATTCTTAATATTACTCTGTTTGAAATGGAGTTTAAATGTCATTTAAAACAACAATATACTCCTGACATTTCCTCTGTCCATCTCTTTTGTATATTCAGAAAATGTGGCATAAGGCTGATTTGGGGGCTTTCTTCTTTGGAGTGCCAAAAAATTACATCAATGTATCAATTAACTTTATGTGCCACTCACCATGGAAAGAATCCAAACACTGACATTTACAAAAATAAGGCCCCTTGAATGTTAGCAGCAGGCACTGGAGCCTATTAACTGTTGAAACCGATAAACTCAAATCAACTCAAAGGGGAGTTTTATAGATAAAGTGGCCTTGACTTATCATATTCCATATCTATATATGTGGATTCTCTTCATATTTCACATATCTATATATACTTACTGTATCACAGATTTTTTCTGAGTTGAAGACTGATTATATGCAAAATTAAAAGAATATATTCTTCTGATAACATTTATAAGCATTGTTACTAAATAAATTAAAAGGCCAGTCAAATGTAATAATTACATATTATCAAAATAATCAAATAATAGATAAGACGCTTTGTAGGATTACCTGTGATCTTCCTAAAAAGAAAAGCTGGGAATTACAGTGTGTTTTAATTATCCAAGAAAATCAAGAGGGAAATAAGCTACTGTTACTCTTTTACCAGTGGTCATTTTTTACTTTTATTTTATTGATATCTATTTTACCCTAAGCCTCTATTCTATTTAAAATATCTAATTCTATATCTGCCTGTTTAATTCATTCTCTTCTTTTATTCTTATAACAAGCTTTTAAATTGGCATGACTGAAGTGCATAACTAACCAATTCCCCATATATGAGTTTTATAACAATCTCTTAAATCTTAATATTTGCACCACATTTTAAATATTTCTCTGCAACTCCCTTTTCGCTGTTGCTTTTGCTATGTGAAGCTCAGTAGCAGCAAATCATATGCATGAAGCAGGTGTCCTCTGGCTGGGTCAATTAGCTTAAGATGTTAAGAGGTCACCTGAGCATAATCACAATTGTTTATGGTAGACCAAGTCCAGACATCTGTAAGGTTAGGTACACATCATGGTATTAAGTATGCTTCAAATTATCATTTTTGAGGAAATGTTAACATTGAAATTGTGTGTATTGATATTATTGATCACTAAAGTATCATAGACAATATGATGGATGGACATAGTATACATTTGCATCTTTCCTAATTCTTCAGTGAGCCTGCAGGATGATAATTCAGAAGAAGCTCAGAAATGAGCCATTGAGGATAGAAATGAGTGAAGGACAAACCTCTATTTTTACTTACTCTGTATCCCTAGAGTGTTTTGTTACAAACAGATTCCATCTTCTCTAAGTTCCTTTGACTAAAACCTTCTCTTCACTTTTAGGGACTATATTAGGTGAACTCGTTATTATATTCCCTGTTGTATTAACTAAGCTTTTCCTTCAGTAACGCAATTTATTTTTATCTTGAAATTAGTAGCAGCTTTATGACTTTTGACAACTTCATATCACCTTCAAACTCATCCTTACACTCACCTTTAGATACAAAATGTTCAAATTCAAACTATATTCTCTTTTGAAATACCAATTAAATTTAGAGGTGATATTAAGGTAAAAATGAAAGTAGAAAACACTAGAGCTTTACTTAATAATGTTATCATCAATCTCCATGCCTGGGGACCAACTTAGGGTTGAAACATAGTCCTAACAAGCTGCTTGTAATATGTTCAATAACTCATTTTCCTTGAATGGGGTCCAAGGTAGCCCCTGATATATACTAACTTCTGTATGATATTGAATCTTAAATCTTGTGAGGCGCCAGTATACTAAGAATTTGAGTCTCATCTTTTAGGCAGATTTTTAGCTTTCATCACAGTAAGTGTTGTCTGCAGAATGAAGAACTTTTTATGAAATTTACAGAAGATAGAACTTGAATATTGTCTTAGTCTTTTTTCTGCTGCTATCATAGAACACCGGAGACTGGGTAGTTTATAAAGTAAAGAAATGGATCTGGATAAATATTCTGGAGGCTTGGAAATTTGAGAGTGAGGCACCGCCTCTGGTAAGGGCCTTCTTTTTTTTTTTTTTTTTTTTTGAGACGGAGTCTCTCCCTGTCGCCCAGGCTGGAGTGCAGTGGCGTGATCTTGGCTCACTGCAGCTTCTGCCTCCCAGGTTCAAGCGATTCTCCTGCCTTAGCCTCCCAAGTATCTGGGATTACAGGTGCCTGCCACCATGCCCAGCTAATTTTCGTATTTTTAGTAGAGACACGGTTTCACCATGTTGGCCAGACTGGTCTCAAACTCCTGACCTCGTGATCCGCCCGCCTCGGCTTCCCAAAGTGCTGGGATTACAGACATGAGCCACCGCGCCCGGCCGAGGGCCTTCTTACTGTGCTGCCTCATCCCCTGGTGGAAGGCGGAAGGGCAAAAGAGTGTGTGAAAGAGAGAAAGAGGGAAGGATGCCAAAGTCATCCTTCTATTGGAGCCCACTGCCATGGTAACTAACCGACTCCTGAGATGAGGCCATTAACCCATTCATGGAGGCAAAGCCCTCGTGACGTAATCACCCCATCTCTCAACACTGTTGCATTGGGGATTAAGTTTTCAGCGTATGAACTTTGGGGGGACACATTCAAACCATAGAAAATACGACATGGAAATACGCTGTGGGAGAACACCCCAGATGAAATGACCTTTATTACTGATGATTTTATACCAGTTCTTTAATTCTATTTATTTCTCCTTATAAAGTTGAATGTACTCACGCCTGTAATCCCAGCACTTTGAGAGGCCGAGGCGGGCGGATCACGAGGTCAGGAGATCGAGACCATCTTGGCTAACACGGTGAAACCCCGTCTCTACTAAAAATGCAAAAAATTAGCCGGGAGTGGTGGCGGGCGCCTGTAGTCCCAGCTACTCGGGAGGCTGAGGCAGGAGAATGGCGTGAACCCGGGAGGCGGAGCTTGCAGTGAGCTGAGATCACACCACTGCACTCCAGCCTGGGCGACAGAGTGAGACTCCGTCTCAAAAAAATAAAATAAAATAAAATAAAATAAGTTGAATGTAAAGGATACAGATGATCTAAATAATAGGAGTTTCAGATACAAGTGGAAAATTATGACAATCTCCCAAGATGCTCTTCGGGGTAAGTGGAATCTCCTCAGGAACCACTTCCCAGATCAATCTAGCTTGTCCATAAAAACGCATTTAAATGGTCCTCCCTCAGCCTGCTGCTAACAGTTGTACTCTTACATTATGTATGAGTCTTCGCTTGTTGCATGAACAAACTGCATAGTGTTCCATTAGTGATTTTCAATTTCATGCTAAGCTTTGCAATTTATTAGTGTTATTTAAGCTAATGTACTATTATTTTGCATATTTTATATAATTTGTTATTCATGCAATGTGATATTTAAGTATTGGGGATCAATAAGTCTACTTTGTTTCTAAATTTGTATAATTAAAGACATTCAATTAAATATCCTACTACATCGACTTTGTTCTGGGAATTGTTTTCTACGAAATTTTTTCTATCCTTTTCAAAACTTGAGACTATGTTTTAGTAAGCAGAATTTTTTAAAAAATATTTTAACAGGAGTATTTGATTATGTGCATTGAAGCTCTATAGTAATAAGATTCAAATGAATTTGAATTATGAAATGTTAAGTGATGACAGTGAGATGATTTTGTACAAATTTTACTATATAACCAGGAAATCTGTAGATCACAGACTTAATTTTTCACATTTACTCATCTCTGTAGTGATTGTTTTAAATGCTAGAATGTGAAATCTACTAGATAAATCTCTATTTTTTAGGTTAACATGTTAGTGGATGGGGAAGGAAATATATATTATATCTCTAATATATACACATACACACACATACATACAACCTTAATACAGAATTAAGCGTTTGTGCAACCTCCCTATCTGGCACACTTACTTTGCCATTCCTCTCTATCAAGTGCAAGGGCAGGTATGGAGATCCAGTTATAAAATTTCTGCCTGCTTTGGTCTTTGCACCACATGACTGGTAAGACCTTCCTGGATTCATGCATTTATTAACGCTCTATACCTAAAAACAAGACTTGTAAGAGCAAGAAATTTAGTTGGTCTCACACTAAAGATAAACCATTTCCTGAATTTCTGCAAAGACATATTAGTCATTACTACAGGTTACAGCGGGTGTTCCTGAATCCTGTTTAAACTGGAAGAGGGCAAATGTGCTTCTCTCAGAGAAGGATTATTCAGTGGCTTGAGCCTCTTATTCTTTCCTATTGGCATCTTGCACCTTTCTTCATTTTCCTACTAATAAGCTTTCAGAGCCTGGTCATTCCTATTTACGCTAAGGTTCTTTGTAATATTTGAAAGCCCCTTCTGAACTCTCTCATGTGCATGCTCTTTCTTCACTGTGCTGTTTACTTGTAGGCATTTGAAGTCATTTTCCTACATGGTTTTTTAATATATTTCAAGGCCTCTTTCCTGCCATTTTTACTATTTCCCTGACTATGAATATCTTTAAAACATTAGAACTGCTTATTGTCTAAAATTCATAAGTCATTTGGAGTTTGTCTATAAATAATAAAAATAAACATGTGAAAATATTTTGAAATTTTGAAATGCTATCTTTTTAAAAAAATCTTGCTTTGAAAAAAATATAGAATACTGCTAAGAATATGAGCTTCTCTTCAGGACTGAAGGAGAAAAAACTTCTAGAAACAGCTTGTTTGTAGGTTGCATTCTAGATTGTTTAATAGGATATTTTATGTCTTTGTGAGGCTCTCTCCAGGGAAGACTGTGGTGACATAAATCTAATTTTCCTGTTGACTCAACTTCGAGATTTAGTAAGAATTTTGTTTGAGTCATTTTGGTTCAATTTTTTGAAGATTATTAAGAGAAAATGATTATTTGAAGATTATTAAGAGATAAACAATTGTTTGAAGATTATTAAGAGACAAGACAATTTTGCCTGGGTCTGCATTTCCTCAATTCATTTTTTTCTTTATTTTAAAGTAATGGTTCTGATTCTTTAGTGTTCATTAGTTGATTCCCTGAACAAATATTTATTAATTGACCACTGTGTGTTAGACTATGTACTACATTCTGGGAAATACTGGAGAGAAACCCCACACAGGATCTCTGCCCTAAATCGTGCATTTGGAGCCCAGGAATCTGTATTACAACAACTACCACAGGTTGATTCTGATGCTAATGATTTATGGACCACACTTTAAGAAATAATATTTTTGTGTACAAATGCATTTAAATATAGAACTGGTAAATTGTGGCAATGGAATTAATCCTTTAACAAAAATAAATTTTGTTCAACGCAGCCAAAATAGGAGCTGCTGTCCCATCCCCTAGGCCCTGTGTCCCAAAGTGTGGCAACGGTGGGGTTTGCAATGACCTTACTGTCCTGCAGTGAGACAGTGCTGCTTTCCGAACACCAGCAGCTGGAAGCTTAGTTGCTACATCAGGAGGAAATTCATGGCTTCACAATTTCCATATGGATCTATTTTAGATATGAAAATCCCATCCATATGGAAAACGTTATAACAGAGAATACAAGTGAATTAGTAATTTCACAGCTTTACACACCTAAACCTTTAGCATTAAGGTAATTTTCACTGGTTAAATTTGGAAAATAAAAGAGTAAATCTGCCTTGCTCTTGAGGGTCACTATTTTCTTTTAAGTAAAAATAGACATGGTGCCATAATCATATTAAAGGTAAAGAGATAACTATTAAATTTGAGGAGGTATCATTTGCATTGGTTCCCTTTCAATCTGTCTGCAATCCTACCCTACTTATGGGCTTTCTATGACCCATATGTTTTCAGAAAAAATTAAATCCCCTTAACAACGAAAATTGTTGCATTTACTTCTTATCTTTCCTCCTTTCTTGGGGGAAAAACATTATATTGATCATAACATATTATATAACATATTGTAATGTATGATTGATAAAACATCTATAAAATACATATATTTATATGCAAATAGAAATATATTGATAGACATACCAACTATGTGCTTTGTATAAATATGTATTATATATAAATTATATGTATTTTGGCAAACTATACTATGTGTGTACGTACACATATGTATCTAATATTGATTAAGAATATTAACTTTCCAAGCTTGTATATTAGACCTAAATTAGAGTTTCTTTTAAAGATTATTTATAAATAACTTGAAAGAAAGTCTATATTAGAGTACAATTTTTAAGTCAAAAAGTTGTATTCCAGTATATGTGTAATTGCAAAACCTGCTCAGGACTGAAAAGACTAAAATTCACAATGTCGGTCCTTGTTTATACAAGAAATATTATTTGAAACTGAAGTTAAAGACCAGAGAGTTGTTTTGGTTATTTTTAAATTATTATTGTTGATTGGGTGCACGAAACTGTATGAAATATAGTGACACTTTTGCATTGCGCCCTTTATCTATTCTAGTGCCAACAGACAAATCAATACATTTCTATTTTTAGAAATCGTGGAGTTTAGAATCTCATCTTAAAACTGAAGCGAATTAAGAAAGAACAAAACCTGCTAATGTCTCTTGTACTCTCCTGTGAAACCTTAAGTTCACGTCCAAGTGCACGGAGTTGAACATTTAAGCTAGAAGCTTTATAGGTCATCTAGTGACTCTTATTTTACAAACAAGGAAACAGAAACATGAGGAAGCTTGGGCTAAGATTGTTGGTGATGAAGCCAGAAGTAGATTCAAAGTCCTTTAAAGTCTATCGATGGGACACAACAGACACGAGCTCTTCTAGAAATGTCCACGTTGTTATTTTCATGCATGACCTCACTGCAGTGCAATATGAAGGATGATGGGTACTCAGTATCCAACTCAGTTATCATGTGTCCACAAACAGTGTTCTAGCTGCCTGTGTTAACACTGCATGATAATGGAAAGCTGAGTGCTTTTACCGTGACAGATGTCAATCATCAAATCAACCCCAACATCAAAACGAATACTAAAGGTTTTTAGATTCACGTATTACTGAGATTCTTGGTGGTAAGTGTAATAATATAATACATATTGGAAATATCCAAATCCCAAAGAACAAATTTGTTTAAGGACAAAAATAAATTGAGGGATGTAAGAATGTGTTTACAATGGAATAAAAGTGATGTGATGAATCAGGCTCAGCCCAGAATCGCCAAGGCTAATTTTTCGAATGTCAAACACGGTTTGGGGCAACTGGAGTAGTAATCCAGGAGCCCCAAACCTTTTTGCTTCTGGAATTCTCATAGAGAGAACAGGCTGCTTTTAGGGATTGTTTGAGTTGATGCCACAATCCGAGTTCCTTTACGAGCCAATGTATAGAACAACCCACACATCCATTTGTTTTTGTGAGCTACAGATGGATAAGCAGAAAATAACCATTTGACATTAAAATGTACAGTTCACTCATAAACAGTACAACCAAGCATTCACATTTCAGCTACAGTGAGGGGTCTTCCAGAGAATTATATCAGTGGTAACACAGTCATAAGTAAAAGTGCTTAATATTCCTGTCTACAACCAAAGGAGGAACATTACTCCCCTAATTAGTGAATGGAAAAGACATTAGTATAACTGAAATGGCTATATAAATCAGTTTCTTGTTTTAAAAGATGAAGAAACAATTCTTATTCTGAGAAAGATGTGAGAGTTTACAGGCATCTCAGTTGGACTGTTAATTTCATTTGTAAATTGTGTGACTATAACTAATAAACGTGTGCAAGCTTTCATAAAATTATATTGTTGCCCCAACAGAAACATTTTCAGCAATGATGAGCAAAGTCATTTTCCTATTGTTGTCACAATAAGTTGTCTTTAAAAAAATCTCTAGAGAAAATGATTAATTAGATTTCAATTATGCTGCAGAAAAAAATGTACTTTACATACTCACACACTAAAAAGCATTATAGTATTTCTTTAATGTGTTTAAAAATTCAAAAATGTTTTTAAAAGCCACTTAAAAAGTCAAAGCAAAAGCAAGCTAATGGAAGATGGTGTCATCCTTCAAGTTGATGTATGTTGAGTTTCCCCCACGTCCTTTTGTATGACATTATACAGACATCATTGGAATTTTTCTAAATTATCTTAGAAGATTCTGAAATACCCATTATGATCTGCTGACAGACACAAGGATAATCTCTATAGTTCTGCCATGGATTGAATGAAAGACCAAAATTAATGTTACTCCCCTTTAAGAGGAAGGCGGATTAGCTAGGCATGGCTGCTATGTTTGGCTTGACTGCATATTGGGATTAAAAGCATCTCTCTCTCTCTTTCTCTCTCTCTCTCTCTCTCACACACACACACACACACACACACACACACACACACAGAGTCTTCCTCCAGCCCCCGACCTTGAATATTCCTTGTCAAATTTAAATCCTCTTTCTCCCTTCTTGCCTTTCTCTTCTCTCTCTTTCCCTCCCTCCGTTCTGCTTCCCCCTTTTCCTTCCCATATTTCCCAATTCATTCACTCATTATTTCTTCCTTGCTGATTTCGTTTTATCTTTAATTTTATTTTTACTTATTTCTACTCTCCTTACTCTCAATTCTCATTTTTCTCCTATTTCTCAGTAACCCTTTCTTTACTTAAAAATTATGATGATATCTCCAATGCTTTAATGTACTTTGTTAGTCAACATGATTTGATTAACAAGAGATTAAATTTTAATAGCATATAAGTCATCTTATATGCTGTTAATATAAATTTGATACATTTTTGTATCAAATTTGTCTAGAAATAAATTTTGGTATTTGCTTCTTTCATATGACATTTAAAATATTTTTAAATGGCATTTGTTTGAAAAAGCCACATAGGAAATTTATATTTCTCAAAACTTTAAAAGTTGAACAAAAATCCATATTTCTATAGTACAGTAGTACTTGTTATATCGAGAGGTTTTTTAGATTTTGAATTATAATTTTTACAACTCTGCAAACCATGTTATTGCTATAAAAATATTATTTGCATGAAATACATATATTCTCCTTACGTGTTTTTTTAACTAGGTGAATTACTGCTGCTTTGTGATGTGCCAATGTGTTCTACATTTTAAATTTTAATATTAAAATATTCTAAGTATGATGGGTAAAATATTGGTCTTAGAATTTATTTTCCATTACTCTAATGAAGCATCCTTTGTTCCACTGAGTGTTTTTGAGACACAGCCCAAGTTACCTTTCTCTTAAAATAGTTAAGTATATTGCCTCTTATTTCCGGTTTTCTCCTTCACTCCATTCCACACGTCCAAAACTATTTAGTTTTCAAATTACATCACCACTGGAGGTGAAGCCGTTTCATCTCCCATGCTTAGCTGCTGCCGGAGGGGACAGACGGGATAAAGCTGGGAATGGGAAAAGGATGAATTGCATTTTCAGTCTCAGGTCACTCTGGTCCAAGTGATCGGAAACCCACTTCCCAAAGAGATACCTCTTTTATAGAAAATACTCAAGTGTCAGCCTCCTTCTCCACTACAAGACCCCCTTATTTCCTGGCTTTGTTCCTCTGAGGGCCAGTTTCCTCTGAGAGAATACTTTTACAAACTATCATAATATGACTTTCTAACTTTCTTTGGGGCAAACCCACCTACTTGCAGGTTCCATATCGCCTTAGCATTCATGCCCTACCCCTCCCAGCACTCTCAAAGTTCAACCCATACAACATAGTCGATTGTAGCACTCCATGTCCCAAAGTCGGAGTTACCCAGCATAGAAATACACCACAACCCTCATGGGATAGATGCTGCATCAGGATAGACAAGGTGAGTTTTAGCACTCCCAGAAGAGTAAAACCATTAGACAGGGTTGTGTCATTTCAAATCTGATGCTTTTAAAGATCTCCCATCTGTAGGGTAGATACGAGCCCTCCTTTTCCTGGTATTCCAACAAGCACTGAATCAACAGTGTGCGCATGTGTGCATGCACATATACACACGCACGCACGCAAACGCACACACGCACGCACGCACACGCATGCACACATGCACACACGCACACACACTCATGCACATCCACACTACTCAAAGACAAACAATAATTTTCAAAAAGAATAAGCATACAAGCATAGTAAGGAAAAGCAATATTTACCTAACTAAACACGCTTAGGAAAACATCAGTACTGTGTAGGGTTGGTAGCCTTTTCATCATCCTCTGAATTCTAAACCTTGCTCAGAAGCCTATAAGTACATAAAATACAGCGACCACTGCGACATTTTAAGTCTACCAAGCTGTTTGCCCCTTGACAAATATCTTCTACATGCCCAAAGAAAGCCTGGATCATAGATTTTAAATGACCTCCAAAGCCACTTGCCTACCTGTTGAGCAGACCATCAAATTCAGAGCTCCAGTTTTAATTACCAAATTTACCTCTTTCTGACCAAACCAAAAGAGAAAAGTCAACTCAGGGCACGTCTTTCCAGCCAAACCAAGAGAAAGGTCAACTTCAAAGAATTTAAAGAAGCAAGAACCCACAGTGGATCCTCAGGCTTTTAATACCTTACAAGAGAAGGTCTTAGCGAATGGGAGTACTAAATAAAAGTGGGACACTAAAACATCGGGTGATGTGTGGACACCTGATTGGCTGGACATGAATAAGTCAGTGTTGTGTGACAGAAGGAAGAGAGAACTTAATGTCAGAAACCTTAACGTCTTTTCCTTCGTTTATTATTCAACAAACATTTATAACTGGGTACCCCCTGAGTGGCAGGTGCTGGGTTCAGGTCCTTCCTCCACCACTCACTGACTGTGGGACTTTGGGTAAATCATTTACTCTTTCAGGGGGCTCACTTTTCCTATTTAAAACTTTTTCATGGGGTTCACTTTTCCTATTTAAAATCAAAAAACAAAATCTGGCCTTCTTGTTTGTTGCAAGGGGTTTTATGGTGAGGTACCAATGAGATATTTGTGGAAGCACTTGTAATACATAGCCTTCTCTATAAGATAAATGTCAGTTATTCCTTTGTGCTATTCCAAAAATTATTTTTGCTCTTAAAAGAGGTAATGTCTACATTAGAAGAAAACAACTCAAAAGAACAATAGTCTGTATTAATATTTCAGCGCTTCGTATACACCAGGCAAGCATTACACATATCATCTCATGTAATTCTCACAAAACAATATGAAGTTGCTATTATAATCCTGGTTCCTGTTTTACAGGTGACCAAGGGAGGATGAGCAACACCTTAAAATAAGAAAGCCAGCGTAGTGGTGATGGTTTCAGAACACTGTGAACGTACTTAACGCCACTGAATCTTACACTTACAAATGGTTAAAGTGATAAACGTTATGTGTATTTTACCACAATAAGAATAAATAATAAAAGCCAGGAACCAAAGCCAGACAGTATGCAAATACCTTAAGAGGTGAGATCACAGGGCCATGCCAGTTATCTCAGACTAGCAAAGACAGGCATTTATTTTTCTAAAACAAATAGGCATTTGTAGATCTATAGTTTTATCTACTTACTTTTTAGTGTTTAGAAAAACTGAAGTTTGTGTACTCAATGTCAAGCAATTTTATTGATTATTTGATCTCTAACTGTGGCTCTCCTGGACATGAGTTAGATGCATGATCTCCTCAAGGGAATTTATCTCCACGAACTGGATACATAGAGTTTTAAAAACAAATATCTGATATTCTATTTTCTGATTCAAACCAAAGTATTTTGCTTTATTGTAACTTTAGTTAAACTTTTACGTTGCCAAACTAGAATTATTCATGAAATTCTCAAAACTATATTGGGTTACATGTATTTAAACCATGTTCCGTGAAAATATAAATGATCCTATAACATTTGCAACCTAATCGTAATTCATTTTATAACGGCAATCTCAAAACACGTTTGTTAATTGTGTTAATTATATCACTCTCGTTGACTTTCTCAGCTCACTTTCCCTTTTGGTGAAGAGATACTTATGACATTTAGTGTTTAATGTCATTAGCTTTTTTTCTGAATAAGGGTGGGAATATTGTTCAGCAATTTTGAAATCTAACAGGAATAAATGCAGGATGTGGAGGCATCTGTTGACTATACACATGCTGAAGAATCACAGTTGTTAAGAAATAACAGCAATCTAAAAGGGAAAGGAAATATACTGGGGGAAAAAACGGTCCCGGAGGGTTAAGAGGAGGTGCTTTGGCAGATTGCTCTGCCCAGCATGCTGTAGTAGCCCTTTCCAAAGCATATTGGCAAACTATGCTGAACGATCTTGATAAGGGAGATTTAATTAAAATGCTGTAAGCGTAAGATCTCTGCCTTCGTGCTATAGAAGATTTTGTTGAAAGAATCTTATTACAAACCTAGCAGGATTTTTTAAATGTTTTATTCACTTGTAGCCATCCCACTGATTACAGTTGGAAGTATAACACAACCAGTTGGTTCTTAATAAGGGCTTTTAAAAATCACAGCATGTTCTTCAGTCCCTTAGTACAGGATGAATGTGACATCAGGGACACAAATATCATTACCTTGATAAATTACTGATGGCATAATGATTATGGAAATCGTCATCCACTGATCATCAGTCACAATTTATTTCAAATCAATGTCTACAATTTGTAGCCTGGATGGAAGTTTTATCAAAACCCCCTCTGGTATAGTACAGCTCTTGGTAGCTAACTTCCTCCTAAGAGCATTACAGCCTTGTCATACTTCATCTGCTGTTCATGAATGGAACCACTCAATGATTCCATGGCCTCAAGCAATCCGAATTAGTCAGAAGAACACTGGGCTACCACACACTCATAGGCAAGCTCGTTCAGAAAAGCAGTTAATTTAAGAACCAGCAAATGTGCCAAACTACGGTATCTTTCCCTAGACACAGAGTTTCCCATTTTTTTCCCCTTTCCAACTGGCAATAAATGGTAATGTTTGACTTTACTACACTGTTAAATTGCAAATAAATTGTTGCCGAATCATGCCATAATAGACGTTTATGTCTTTAAAGCAATCTCTGTACCAGGAAACATAATCTGCATGCCTTTGTCTGAGACTTGGTAGTGTTCCATTACTCTTTTCCAACACATTTAACATTTCAAGTAATTTTAGGTCAGTAGGGCCCAAGAAGTCAATCCCTGTGGTATTCTTATGTAATATTTTTCTACTTTTTAAATTGGTCATCATTTATGAAGGATCACAAAATGATCAATGTCAGTGCTAGCTAGTGATGAACTTATGTGAAGAATACTCTGTCCCCAAAAGGCCGCCTTCTCAGATTAATAATAGAGACTACAGAGTACGCGTTAGCTAGCATAAGGGTTTGATTGGAATATTGGCAAGAATGGATTTTTTTTTAAGGCCGTGTTTTCTACTTTTGCTTCTTTACAGGAAAACTGAAATAATTGGTTGGGTATATACTGTGGTTGAGATAGACAAGCGAATATGGAGAAATATAACAGAAAATAAACATACAAGAACTGAGTTCTGTTCTGTTTTGTGAAATAACGTTGATGCAATATTATTTTTAGAGGGAAGAAGATGATATTCACATAAATGGGCCAGTGGAAGTAGGTTGAAGTAAAATTTAACATTTAACTTGTTATTGTGTTATTAGACACTGTAAGCTTTCTTTGTGTTTTGGATAAAGTTTGGTAGTAGTAACATTACTCCTTAATTTTATAGTTCTACTTTCAAAATACCACATGAAATTAGACACTTGACAGATGTTTTCTAATGAAGATAAGGTAAGATTACTAGCTCAAGTTTAAGATTGGCATGTACTTCTCTAAACTTATATAACAATTCTCAAAAGCCCAACATGAAATGAGGAAAATTGAGGCAATATTAATGATTCATCACTTATTAAGTGTCAGTTATGATTCAAGCATCCTGCTTACCATCCCAAGTACGTTATTTTTGGTAACTCTCAGAAGAACCCTACAGGGGTTTGTTTGGCTCCCAATTTCAAATAAGGAAAGTGAATCATAATTGCCTAAGATATTGAAAAAGTGTAGTGGGCAGATCTATTTGAACTTAAGGTTATTATTCTTCATGCTATGCTAAATTCCTTGGAACATGAATGATATTTAAGATGTAGAAACTAGTTAAGTCTTGCTTTTCAAATCTTTATGTGACTAGTATTTATGGAGTGTTTGTCATATTAATAGTTGTATATCAAGTGCTATGAAGAAAGAAAGAAAACAGAAAATGAGAATAAAGGAAGGAGAGAAAGGGAGAGGATGGAAGGAAAGAAGAGAGGGAGGGAGGGAGGATAGGAGGAAGCAAGGAGAGAAGGAGGTAGGAAGGAAGAAGGGAGGAAGAAAGGAAGGAAAAGAGGGAGGGAAGGAAGAAGAAAGAAGGAAGGAACAAAAGGAGGAAGGAAAAGAGGGAGGAAAGAAGGAGGGAAGGAAGGAAGGAAGGAAAGGGAAAGAAGGAAGGAAAGGAAGAAGGAAGGAAGGAAAGGGAAAGAAGGAAGGAAAGGAAGAAGGAAGGAAGGAAGGAAAGGGAAAGAAGGAAGGAAAGGAAGAAGGAAGGAAAGAAGGAAGAAGGAAGGAAGGAAGGAAAGGGAAGGAAAGGGAAGGAAAGGGAAGGAAGGGAGGGAGGGGCACATGGTCCCAGACCTTGAGGAATTTACAGTTACCCCTACCTCAATGTTCTCCTTCCTCTTAACTTCCCAAGGAAATCTGGGACCTTGGACAAATCTTTTCTGAGCACCAGCAACATGCCAAGACCTATAAATCTAAAGCAGTCCTCGGTATTCCCCCCGGCTTCATCTGCAAAGCCTCCTCTGCCTTCTAAGTGCATGAGCTCTATCAATGACACCCCCTTCTTCCCAGTCAACCCATTTGAGATTTTATTATTGCCTGCACCTACTCTCTCCAATATCTCATGAATGAGTAAATCTTGCTGATTTATCTTCTGTAGTGTACCCTACATAGATGTTTCCCTTTTTGCCCATTCCATCAATGCCCGTGCCTTATGCACTGGCAATAGTGCCGAATTGTTTCTAACAAAGTTATAAGTGATTTGGTGTGATTGTCCCTCCAGCTGATACTTCTGGGATGACTTCTTGGTGTGGCGTGAGGTTCTGTGGTCCCAGTCCTGTGTGATTCCCTGGGCAGGCTGCTCCTCCTGGACTGACAGGCATACTGGCTCTCTCTGTTGTATTTATCTTGAATCCCTAGCTTCTGCTCTGTACACACCAGAGGAGGTCGGCACTCAGCATAAGGATGGTGAAGTGAAGTCTGGGCCACGGCAGCACCTGGACAGAGTAGGAGGCAGCACCACAGTGGTTATAGCGACAGGCAGACTTGGGTTTCAGGGCTTATTCTGTCACTTACTTGCTGTGTACTTTAGGCAAGTTTATTCATTTGACAGATAGTTATTGACCACATGCTCTGTGCCAAAGCAATTTCTGGGGCAAACCATGGTGATCAAAACAGAAAAGATACTAAGCTCCATGGTGTTTACTTCTAATGGAAGAAGATAGGCAAGTAAATTACTTAATAACTGAGATTATTTCAGATACCAGTAGGGAATATTTTTTCATATTGGGTGATGTGATGGAGGGGAAGGTGAGGGCATGAGAGGCACTGAATTTAGATTTGGTGATTAAGAAAGACCTCATTGAAGAGAAATGTTTGAGAATGAACAGAAGAAACCAGCCAGGAAAAGATCAAGGGCAGAGGTTTTGGTTGGGTGAACAGTAAATACAAAGACAGACGTCAGAGGGAAGGCCAGGGTGGCTGGAGGGGGCAGGTGAGGGGAGGGGTGGACCAGGGGAGGGGTGGATGAGATCTGAGCAAAGGGCCTTGTCAGTCATGAAAAGAGACTGGATTTTTGGCCAGGTGCAGTGGCTCATGCCTGTAATCCCAGCATTTTGGGAGCCTGAGGCGGGAGAATCACTTGAAGTCAGGAGTTTGAGACAAGCCTAGCCAACATAGTGAAACCCTGTCTCTACAAAAAAAAAAAAAAAAAAAAAAAACAAAACAAAACAAAAAAAAAAAAAACAAACACATTAGCCAGGCATAGTGGTGTGCACCTGTAGTCCCAGCTACTGGGGAGGGTGAGGTGGGAAAACCCCTTGAGCCTGGGAGGCAGAGGTTGCAGTGAGCTGAGATCACACCACTGCACTCCAGCCTGGTGACAGAGAGAGATCCTGTTCCCCCAAACAAAAAAAAAAGAGAGAGAGAGACTGGATTTTTATGCAGGTGTAATGGGGAAGCCATTGGCAGTGTTGAAGCAGAGGAGTGGCATGGCCTGACATTCATTAAAGAAACATGGCTCTGTCTGCTGTGAGGAGAAAGGACAGAGAGAGACATGTGGAGCAGTGAGTCCTGCTAGGCAGTTGTAACCAGAGTCCCCTTCCCAAGCCAGGCCATCACACTTACAGCCAAAACTGGACCCAGCGATCCTGAACATATGCTGCATTCAGCTACTTCTAAATATCTAGAGTATTTTTAAGTGTTTAAATAACTATTCACATGTATTAAAATCATTTAATTTTGGCATGTGTATATTATGTTGAGACAGGGTCCCACTCCGTCACCCAGGCTGGAGCGCAGTGGTGCAATCACGGCTTACTGCAGCAGCTCAACAGATCTTCCCACCTCAGCCTCCTGAATTTTGGCATATGTGTTGATATGCAATAAATGAAGTTTAGATTTATAGGTTTTGCAAATTCAGCCCAAATACTTTGCAAGATTTATTTGCTTCATTCCTTGCCTTGCTCTTACTTTTAAGGATGTTATTGGAAAATTTGTGGGGGGCAGAAATTAGGGGTTTTGGTAATGAACCAGCTATTTCTAAAGGACACTAGTGAGGCACATCAGATGCTGGGCTAATGCTTTGTGTGTTAGAGTAGCCATCGTTATATCAACCAATAGCTATTTATCCAGTGCCGGACAATACAAGATACTGGGCTAAAAATGGTAGGAGACACAGAGAAGCATGTGATACGTTCCTGCTCTCATGGAGCTTGAAATCTCATGCAGAGCCAGGATGCGTTTGCAGAACAGGTAATCCTACCTGACAGCTTGTGCTAAGATCCAGACCAGCGCTGAAGGATATGCCAGGGGATGGAGGAGGGGAGCACCCCAGACAGTGAACAGCTTGAGGAGATGACAGCAAAAGAAGAAAGGTACAGCTTTTTCAAAGGTGATTGACTAGACGGGCCAGAGAATTCACATGGGCTGCTACATTGTAAGGGAATAGTGGGAAATGAGGCAAGAAAAGAAAATTGAAACCAGTTGTACAGGGGGCTTAATGCCTGGCCAAGGAATGTGAGCTTTGTACTGTTGGTATTGGGCAGCTCTTGAAGGGTTTGGGGCAAGGGAGTGACATGATGAAAAGGTATTTGGGAAGATTAATCCAACAGCTGTGTGCCAGACAGGCAGGAGAGGAGGCAGGAAGCAGCTGCTGTAGGTGATCTTCAGTTGAGGGGCGTGTTGGTCTTGTTGGTTCTGGGTTTTCAAAGTAAAATAATTTTACATATATGTCAAAATTCCCTCATTTTTGGCCACGCGCCTGTAGTCCCAGCTACTAAAGGAGACTGAGGCAGGAGAATCACTTGAACCCAGGGGGCAGAGGTTGCAGTGAGCCGAGATCGTGCCACTGCGCTCCACCCTGTGTGACAGAGTGAGACTCGGTCTCAAAAAAAAAAAAAAAAAAAAAAAATCCCTCATTTTTCCTTATGCCATATGAACTATCTGACGATATGATAGCTTTTATCAAGAAGTGTCCTTTCTTTATATAGCATTTAAAAATAGTCCCTTTCTAGAAAAATTATTCACCCTTTTCTCCATTATTTTCTTGAGTAATAGTGGCAAGCTAATAAAAAACTGACAAGGAAACAGCAAAAAAGTAGGAAATTATGAAAACAAGTGAGTGTTTTGCTAAGGAAATGTTTATTACTGTGGTTCTCATCATTATGAGTTAATTACAGGCTCTCAGCAAATATCCCATTGTGAACTCAGAGGTGCAATATGTTTTATTTGAGAAAGTGAAATAGTGATTTCCTTTCCAGTATTCAGTTGCATTTCCCGCTATTTTAAGACTACTCAGTGGTACCAATGTACTTTGACAACCAATTATCCCAGCATGTCTTTGCAGTGTATTTTAACTATAATGCTTTTTAAAAGCTTGAATTGCAAAAACAGAGTTTTATCTTAATTGATCATATGCGTTTCTAGAATTGTCTAAATACTACTTGTGTGATATCTGAATAACTTAACTAATTTACATGAGCAGAAAAAAAAAACACCTGTTGGAGTAAGACACACAAAACTTCCTTCAAAGCTATTATTTGTCATTTTTTTCCTCAGACTTTCTTTAATGTCTTGACTCTTAAGAAAGAATGACATGTAGTCCCTGAGTTCTGGCCAAAATAAAGAATAAGATGTCCCTTAGACCATCCCTGGGAACTCATAATCTGATTTCCTAAAGCCAGTTGCCATCTGATTATTACCATTACAGGCAATGCAAACCTTAGACTTTGCCCATATCATCTTATTCTGCCTGGTTCCATCTGAAACCTGCTTTCAAGAATGGCATGGTACACACTCTATAAGCAAAAGGTGACTTTACAGAGTAGGAATTCTCCCGGTTAATGTCGCCTTAAGCGCCTGTTAACTACAATGCATTGTTTAAAAGCTGACATCTGTGATTATTTCAGGCACAGGGCCATTGCTTAATTTACTTTGGTTTGATTTTTTTTTTCTCTCCGCCCTCCCAGTTGGCTTCTCCAGAAGAGTAAAGCCAGACAGTAGTTACTGCTTTGGAAAGAAATGATAAGCCGAGCACTTTGGAATGCATTTTTCTAACGCTCCTTCGCCAAGTGTTACATGACTGTATCAAATTTCTTTAGACTTTGATAATGAGAAACAGACAATGCCATAGACAATACAACCAAGAGATTTGTGGTAATAGAGGATTTCAGAAATACACATGGTTCTAAATGGCTCTGAGATTATGTGCTTAAAGTTCTCCATCTTTTATTTTTTTCATGTTTGAGTAGACCCTACGGTTGATTATCAGGTTGACGAAGGGCAGAGGCCCTGTCTGCTGATTATAAATGTGCAATGTGTGTAAAATTTTCACACATAATATAATATTTCAAAGTTATTTTTATGGGGGCTCCGGGGTCCCAGAACTTAAACAAAGCTGCTAATCATTGGCTCCAAGAAATACTTAGAAGGAATCATAGTTTTTTTAACATCATATGGAGTCATTTGCAGACTTTTGGGCTGCAGATCACATTATGTTTATTTATTCAGCTGGCTTTGGAGATTTGAGCAATATTTGGAGGCACACAAGTCTTTGCCTTGCTTAATAAAAAGTATACTCAAAGGTATCGCTCCAGCATTTTTATACACAAAAGATTCTCACAAACAGGGGTTGATATCGAAAAAAATGTAATTTTGAAATTAAAAAGAAAGAAACTAAACAATCCTGGGGAAAAACATCATCCAGCGGTATCTTTCTTAAGAAATCTTCAGCAGGCCTTGTGTCCCTTGTGCTATAAAGCTTGAAAATACGTTATTATCTTTTACAAGAACACTGTAAACTGTAACTTGCATTATTCTTTGTGATCATCTACAACACACAAGACCTGGCTCACCTTTTAAGAATAGTCATTTAACACAGGATGTGTAATTTTGTTGGCATTATTAGTAGAGCTTTATGTCACGAAGTCAATTCAGTCTTTTCCATGAAAGAAGGTGGAATAAATATTTCATAGCTATGGCTTTTGAGGAACATTCCGCCTTTCGATCTTGAGGCAGTCTTTCAACATGTATGCCAATCAGAAGTCTTTAACAGATGTAAAATACATCTTGTTTACTTGTCTTTGAAAAATATAAGGATCTCAAGATGCACCTGAAATATTCATTATGTGGACAATACTTCAAGCAGGGCTAGAACTTGCTGAGTGTTTCAACCACTGCCTATTTGTTCAAGTTTTTTCTCTTTTTCTGGTTTTCCTTTTTCTTTCTTTTTTCTTTCTATCTTCCAACATCCCTAATACTTCTAAGTCCATGACTTGTCAAAATGGCTATAATATACCCAGATAAGTAAATTTATTGATAGCATTTAACATCTCAAACATTGTCTTTGATTTGGTTAGCTCCGTGATGGTTTAATGGAAGAATATATTTTGTACCATGAAAATATTTCTTTTACTTCTATTTTTCCTCTTTTTCTTTTGACCAACGTACCCCAGTTATTTTAAGTAATCACTTTATTGTGAAATTATCCTTTGTGTGAGTTTCTCTGTTAACATACAATTAGTATAGGATAATTTCACTGTCAGCAAGATAACTCATTTGTGGAATTTTGCCACAGTGATTTCTGTATTCTTTGCTTTGAGTCTCTATGAGAAATATCCCCACAGATTGAACCCATGACCTCCTCTTCTGATCTATGCTCACCTGTTCAATATTGATTTGTATTTGGCTTGGGTGGAAACTGTTAAATTTTGTGTTAACGTTTAAGACGTGTTTTGTAGATACTGTCATTATTTGATAAGGTGTTACAAAGTGATATCTCTTCAAAGCATTTCTTAAAGACAAAATAGATATTTAATTAAGCTTAAAAAGGAGCAGGATAATGTCTTTTAATTATGCAAACTTAACACACACAAGCGCACACACACACACTTTTCTACAAATATGAAACTAGGGAGAACTGCATGTAAAAGAGCTTAGGGTCACGAAAGGCCATAAACTAAAACCATTTTCCCATATGCTACTATATTTCTCATAAAATGCAATAGAACATTTAGAATTCCTGTAAATCATTTTATTTTATCTGGTAACACACTAAAATATATTTTCAATTTCCCTTTCCATCTCTTTTTATCAATACCACCGTTTTCTTTTTTCTCACCCCAATCTAAGCTTTTAAGCTTCATTAACAAAAGTGCCTCCCTGCAGAAAAAAAATATATCTCAAGCTTTGTCACAGAGCCAACTGCTATGAGAAGCAAGACAAAAAGGGAGCAAAACAAAACATATTTTCAGGTCTTACGATGTGCCAGGCACTGTAGCAAATTTCTTTTCCATGTGTTTTCTCAATAAAAAATGGAATAAAAACGATGTGTTTTTCTAAATTGCTACTTCATTATATTATATATGACATTGTATTATATTTCTTCTATTATCGTTCCTCAATTATTTTGATGACTAGACTATTATGTCCAGTTTAGAGCAATAGAGCACTGTTCCCAGGGAATAAAACATATGAAACATGAAAGGTAACTCTAGTGGATTTAGTTTTTTATAAAATAGTCTATCCCATAAGAAGTAAAGAATATCCTGGTTCTCACTGAAGTTATTGATGGACAAAAATACAGGTACAAACAAGAGAAATTTAGCTCAGACATCAGAAAGAATGCTCACGTGAATCATGTCTTTCACAAATACGCATGAAAAATGTTAATACTTTTGGGGTGTTTTTATGAGAAACTAGGTAGGTATATTTGTGGGCTGATTTATATACATTCTTAACTTTTATAAGTGCTACCTTAACCCTAATTTAATACTTTGAGAATTTGAAAGAATAGAGCTCAGAATAAAATTAACAGTTCAGTGAATATATTAATTTCACCAAGGCAAAGATGAATTAGATGGCTTCTAGGACAGTGTTTGTTCCTTTGTCTTTTTAACCCAACATTCATACTTCTTCAAAGAACTGTAAGCAATGCATTTTTAACAAAATCACAATGACTCTGCTACTCTCATGAAGATTGATTTATTAATACTGACTACTAAATAAAAATGTCAAAGACAGTAAATATCATGCATAAAAAGCATGAAGAAACGCTCCATTGGTTTGAGGACAAATAGGAAATGTAATGTACATTCTGGGTAGAAAATGCATTTCTAGTAATGTTAGGTAAAAACAAATTATAGGCAAAAAGTTAATGGTTCTCATGATACCTGAATAAGAAGGCAAAATTGAAAGAAATTTGGGCTCTCTGCAATATACAAACAAGTGAGTTACCTGCCCTTTACACTCGTCCTTGGGTACCCAGTTCCCTTAAGCCTTTCTCCTGGGTCCAGAGATCTAAGGGTAGTAGGCCACAGGCAAGAATCATTATTGCAGGTCCCCTACTTATGAAACTTTTTGTGTGCTAACTTCCATCTCTTTATGGAAGTTAGCCTCTTGATTGTGGCTCACTTACAGATATACATACCCCAGACTATTTCCATTTTCCAAGCGAAAAAGACCCCATAGTAACAAAATACTTTGGGATAAACAAAATAACAATCAACATATTATAATATAGTACCAACACAGCACAGCCCATGATGAGCAAATATAAAATCTAATAATAATGTCACAAATATGTTAATTCATGTCAGTTTGCAACCAAAACAGCCGTAATAACCACATATGCCTTCCTAGATTTCAAGAACTCTAACAAGTTTCATGTGAACATGAATCACAGGACCACTGCAAGGCTCTCGGGCATGAGGTTGTAATCAAACGTCTTAGTGGAATCCTGGCTTAGAGTTCTCAGTTAATTCTGGTAACACACTAGTATTAGTTGATGAATAGCATCTTCCACCAACTCAGCAAATACTAGTGAGTATCCATTAGCCTCTGTGAAACTGCACATTATTCAACTATAAGAGGCAAAGAACTATCAGTTCTGTCCATCAGGCTGAACTTTGAATTTCTGCAGGAGTATAAGGGTCATATACTTTGCATTTGAGGGATTTCAGCATCAATGCACTGATAATGACCTGATTGAGTCAGAAGCTGTTCCCAGATGGAGATTTCATTTTCACCCCGTCTACTTGGGTGCCAATGGCTACAGACTTGAATAACCCAGGAGACAAAAAGAGAGAGAGAGAGAGAAAGCAAAAAAGAAAAAGAAAGAGAGTTGTGTCTCAGTAAGCCAGCAACGGTCTATCATCTGAATAATGATCTACCTTACTATACAAAACATCTTATAATCAGAATCCAGTTAGACCACGAACTGGGAAACCGGTGTGGGTAACAACTAGAGCTGACAGCAAAGTAGTCAGTGGTCAAATGAGCTGAGATATGGATCAGAGCCAAATAAAATAGGGGAGATATGATAGGATGACAACAAGCTGATGGGTTAAACCGCCCGTATAGGTATGAACTGAGATCTTAGAGCCCTAATATTCCAGATGGGGAATCTCGATGCCCAGCAATTCCTTAACTAGAGCTTTGTGTGTTACATTGTTCTCACCCATTTAAGTCAGTGTTTTACAGAGGGCACCCTCCTTTTCCCAAGACTCTGAATTATCAAAGCCAAATTAGCAAACCGCGTCTTTCATTACTTGTTCTCCACTTGCTCTACAGTGAGCTGATTCTATGGCTCAGATAAAGGCTTGGTGACACCTGCTTGTCTGAACATATCAATCCACCCTTACAAAGTAATACAAAGTGTGTTCTAATGTGAAATAACTATTGCTTATCCTGTTCTAATTTCCAGTTACACTATTCAAATACTACTGGAGTTGACTTACAAGCATCTTTCACCATTCTTTGGAGCTTACAGATAGAAAAAGTGTTTAATAAACTTCACCTGAGTAACAAGGCAAGCTGTGCTGGCTGTCGATTGCCAATACGCTGTTTGGATATTAGCTTAGAGCACGGGATTTAGATCTTACTAGCTGTTGTGAACAGTTGTCATTCTATTAATATATCTTTAAAGGAAGGCTCATTCCTGGAGATTTTACATTTTATTTCCAGAAAAGCCAAGAACAAATGTGAATATGACTGATAGCTAATTTTTTCTCTCCTTTCTTCTTTTTCTTGTTGCCGATGATGATGGCCCTTCAGGGGACAAAGGGACAGAAGACACAAAATGCATTCTTTGGAGTTGGGTTTAGACACCTTCAGTTTTCTGCTAAAAAGTTCTAGTCTGGTTGACCCCGAATCCTCTTAGTGTTTGATCATGGACACGCTGACAGTACCGTCACCCGCATGCCTACACAGAGGATGGCAAAGAGGAGGGGCTGAAGGCCCACTAAAGCACTTTCGTCGTTGACAACATTGGCAGTGACCTTAATCAGTGACTCTCTAAGCTTTTTAGCACTGACAGAAATAACCGTTTTTTTCCACTCTGTCTATTTTCATCATAGACACTTTTTCCTCTGATCTTCAGATATGATACAGGTCCATAGGTTTGTAGCGCTTTAGAAATCCGGTCAGTGTACTCTTCTTCCGTTTGCATTATGATTCTTATCAAAATCCCCCAAATATATATTTAAGGAGACTTGACTGGAAAAAATCTCAGAATATAGAAAAATATCTATCTATGAACAGAGAAATTGGTCAGTTTAAGTCCATTTTAAATAATCAGTTTAGTTACCACTCTTTATAAACCTGTACAGAATACGAATGGCTCTAAATTGTATACTATATTCATTTTCTTTAAATCCATAGGTCTTAGTTATTTTTCTAAATATTTGCAAGGGGTATGAAATTCCTGAAAGCTGAAAATGGTTTTTGCAAGGGAAAAGTTAACAGTAAATGATTATTTTAATTCGTTTGATATTTGGAAACCATAATCTTGATTGCATGGCTAAACTCAATAGCACCCTTAAGTAATTATTCTCCATAAATTAACGTGCTATTTCTATCTTCTGTAATTTTCAAGAAATCAAGGCTGTTAACTCTAAGCTATAGCTAAAATCACAGTGAATCTAGAAGTTTCTAACATCCTCCTGGTTAACTGTGTGGTGATCAGTTGTGGCTAATTCCTCATGAGGATGGACTAAACAACCAAACCAACTGCTCCTCCACGCGGTTACTTAGTTTATGTAGATACTGCCTTGCTTTGTTTCTTCGGCATATAATTGCAAGTAATAAAAATCCTGTAATTGTAAAAGAATGAGAAGTCACTGCAATTATATATTTACAATTTATAGCTTTTGAAATGATTATTTTTGTCATTTATTCTAATCTGTGAACCCTAGCCAGGCTAAGTCCTGAATCACTGCGTGATGTTCAAGAGAGGCTGCTTTTCAGAAAAGAGAACAACGGCCCTGGTGTGTGTAGAATAACCGAATATCAGGCCAGCTCCATTGCCCCACATTTTTTACTGTCATTTTTTCATCTATCCAAGTCAACAAACAAGACAAATAACCACTTTTCCGTATTAACCCTGCCTGAATTTTAAAGCATTCTGCGTTTGAACACAGCCTCCTCCATAAAACTTTCGTCACTTGTCTTTCCTAAGGCCACAGTCTTCAGAGACTCCTTCCTCTTCTCTGATTGCTTCCTCCCTCCTAGATGGGAGTCTGTCCATATATCCCCTCCCTTTATATTCTATACTGTCCCTCGGCGATCTCATCTAACCTCATTGCCTTAATGATCACTTTTCTGAAACTTGAAGTTTTGTTTTGTTTCGTTTTAAATCTCTGAGCCTTGGACCACACTGATTCCCCTGCTACAGATCCCCCAATAAACCTCTGCTTCTCATCATGCATTATTATAATCCTCTGCTTCTCATCAGTTTGTCTCCATCAGCTGGGAATTCCATGAGGCCTGGACTCGTAGCTTTCTAATTTCACCGTGGAATTTCTAGCACAGTGCCCGAATTGTTACGAGTGACTTAATCGCTACTCTCACAGTTTCACCTCAGTTCCAATCCCTCTGAAAAATTTCTTCAATCAAACTGAAATACATCAAATTTCCCCTCCTATTTCCATTATATTCAAACTCTGCAGCTTGGTCATTTTGTCCCCCGGACTTGGGCTGCCCCCATCCAATCTTCCTGCCCCAGGCCCTGCCTTGAAGACCATACTCATCCTCAGTCTCCATTTAGGCCCCACCTCCTCCAAAAAGTATCACCCCTCCCGTTGGAAGTCACCTCTTCTGCCTCCTGACTCCCAGAACATTTGATTATACCTCTTTTATGATACTCACCAGTTTGGTATATTTATTACACTTCTTTGTTTGCTTAATTTCCTTGAAGAAAAAGTTTTACAATAGACAGCTACAGATCTCCTGTACCACCTGGTACATGCAAAGATAGCAATTGCTTGTTACATGACTGAGCAAACGAGTTATCATTTTATAGTTATGTAGAAAAATACATCAGGAAATAGGTAACATGTACTGTTATGATAAAATTAATGTTGTATAGGATAGCAATTTTTCTATTTGTTCTGTTTTTCCAGGCTTGTACCATAACCAATACCCCTGCTTGGCAACTCTAATGAGCAAACTGCCGCAAAATTGAGAGAGAACACACCTTTTTGGTAAGTAGCATATGCATTTCTAAATCTGATGGTAAGCACAAAGCTAATGTTTATGCCTCCATTTTGTTTAAAGTCCTATTTAATAAAAATTGTAGATGTTCTGGTATATTTTCTTGGAGGGAGAGGGAATTGAGGAAAAGTTTTCAAGAAAACTGTTATTTCTTCCAGACATCTGTATAAAACCTTTCAGTTTTGACACAATGTTGAGGTAATTCCCTATATTTCTGGAAATAATTTATATTTTACGGGAAATTTTTTGGAAGCATAATATGCATTCAGCAAATGTGAGAACCATAAGTGCACAGCTTGATGGGTTTTTACAAAGGGAGCACATCCTTTCACCAGGACCCACCCCATTAACAAACAGCGTATTCTCCACACGCCAACAGGTATCTCCAGCCCCCAGCCCCTTCTAGTCACACCCCTCCCACCTCCCTTCCCTCACCCCAGCATGGCTAACCAGGATCATGACTTCTAACACTGCAAATTTATTTCCCCGCTTTTAAATTTTATATAAACAGAGGAACTATCTTTTTGAAGGCCTTAAAAAAGACGAAATTGAGAAAATGAACAAGAAGGCCAAGTGATTTTCTATTTATGTAACAGCTGTTTTGCCAGATGATTTGACAACTAATTGGCATTATCTCACCTTTACTCTCAACCCCAGCAAACATCACCTGTTTTAATCGAGGGTCGCTACTGCTTAAGCCTCTACTTGTGTTCTTCTCATATTTGTGCTTAATAAATTACAACTTGCCCAAGATCAGCAAAGGTATTCATCACGTCAAATGTTTACAGCAACTGCCTTTTATAATTAAAGCAAAAGATTGTCTTTTAGCATTGACTGATTAAATTGGTAATTAATATGGGATGAAGATTTTGCATGGTTTCTCAAAGCAACCAAGAAGAGAGAGGTAGATCAGCAAACGGCTTAATAACATGTTTCTTAAAGACTTTATTGTATTTAGCATAATAAATGACAAAATAGGGTCGCATTTCTTTATTTCAAGAAAGATAACTGCATTTCCAGTTATTTATTCCAGAGAAGGCCTTTCCAACAGCCTCTTGATTCCTGCTAATTTTTAGGCCTCTTTCTAAGAAATAGCAATTAAATCCTAACACTTCGAATGCTCCACTTAATATTAGGATTTCTACCCATCCTAAATTTCCAAAAAAAAAAACTGTTGCTGACCAATTTTCTTATACTATTATTAAATGTTAGGGTTCTAATCCTACATTATTAATTTCCATTTTAGGGTATCTGTTTCCTTTCATAAAAAATAATTTCTCATCTAAACCATTTCTTTACATTTAGTGTCATTATTAATCTGCAAATCACAGTGTGATATTTTATCTCATCTTATCTATTATATGTTAATTATCTGTTACCCAGAAGAACTTCTTGACTTTGCTCTTAAATTTTAGGAAACACTTCAGTTTAGAGGGATTTGCAGTCCTCTATATACCTATGTCACCTTACATATGCTTAAACATGTATTTAATTTATCTTTAATTATGTAAATCATGTATGCAAGAAAAGGATTTAAAGTAATAATTCCTACTCAGTTTTGTTTAAATCTATCTAGGAGTCTTCTAATTAATTTAAGGTTATGCATGTTATAAAGCAGTTAGTGAGTTGCAAAGTTAAAATTGGTATTAAATAATTGAATTGTTTGTAATCTAAAGGATAAATGCTGAGGGGATGGATACACCCTTCTCCATGATATTTTTCACATTCATGCCAGCATCAAAACATCGCATGTAACCACCCATAAATATATACAACTACTAGGTACCCACAAAAATTAAAAATTTAAATTTTTTGAAACCAAGACTTTGAGATTTAGAGAGATGTATAAGCTTAACATTTATGGAGTGCACTGAGAATTTGCTTGACATTCTTCAGAAAAAAGGGACAACCTAGTCACTGCCTAATGGGATTTGTGTCTAAATTAGTAGAAAGTAAATAAAATATCACAAGAATGCTCAACAAACAATAAAAATAATAAAATTGGCATTAAAATGCACAATTTGACAGTATCTCAACTTAAAAAAATGTTGGAAATTGCAGAAGTAGACACATGGAAATACTCCATTGAGCCATTAATGTGAAAAACAAGAAGTTATTTCTGTAATGAAGACAAGGGCAATTCTACTTATCCACAACCAATGAACAAGCACCGTTCTGTCTACCATGAAGGTTGGTTTTACCTACCCTTGACCTTCATTGAAAGGTAATCATGCAACGTGTGCATTTCTGCTTCTGGCTTCTTTCATTCAACGTGATGTTTTTCAGTTCCATACCTGTTGTTGAGTATGACAGTAGTCATACATTTATTTTTTACTCTTGAATAGTATTTCATTGATTAATATGCCACAAATTTTTAATCATTCTCCTCCTGTATATTTGGGTTGTTTCCAAGTTTTAGATACTATGATTCAAGCTATTATGAACGTTGTTGTAGAAGTCTTTTTGTGGCCATATGTATTCATTTCTCTGGGGATAATACCAAGGAATAAAATTGCTGGTTAGCTTATAACACACTGTCTAGCAGTATTTTCGGGTCTTTGTCCCATGTTACACTCTCACTAGAAATGGATGAGCACTCCATTTGTCCCAAATAACAATTGGTGTTATTATTCTTCTGGGTTTAACTTTCTTGTGATCTCACTGTGGCTTTAGTTTACATTATCCTTATGACTAATGATGCATATTTTCATGTGCTTGTTAGCCATTCATGAGTCTGCCTTTTTTGGAGTGTCTATTTGAGTCCTTTGCCCATTAGATATGCTTGTCTGACTTGCTTTTAAAGTATCTTTTGGGTATTTGGGTATTTGCTTTTTGGATGTTTTCCTTTAAAATATCTTTTGGGTAGACCTTTGTCAGATTTTATGTACTATGAATATTTTCATTCAGTTAGTGACTTGCCTTATTTCTTAATGATGCCTTATGATAAATAGGCTTTTTTAAATTTTGATGACATTGATCAATATTTTCTTGTGTTCTTGGTGCTTTCTGTATCCTCTCTAAAAAATATTTGCCAATACCAGGTTTGAAAATCTTTATAGTTTTGATGCAATTGGATCTCTGATTATCTTGAATTAGTTTTTTATGCATAGTGTGAAGTAGGGGTTGAAATGCATTTATTTTTATATGTTCACACAATTATTTCAATATAGCAAAAAAATCACTTCTTTTCAAATTGAATAGCTTTTGAATTTTAGTGAACGTTGATGGGTCATATGTGTCTATTTCTGAACTGTTTATTCTATTTTATTGATCTATTCTATTATCCCTATATCAATACCACACTAAGAACACTGTAGTCTTGATATCAGGTGATATAAGTCCCCCAATTTTATTCTTCTTTTTCATGAACTTTTCTAGCCATTTTAGATCCTTTACAATTCCATATATGGCTTAGAATCAACTAGTCATTTTCTATAAAAGAGCTTTTTGAGATTTTGATTGACATTACATTGAATCTATAGTTCAATTTGAAGAAAAATGGCTATTTTAACAATTTTGAGTCTTCCAATCCATGAATATGGTAACTCTCTCCTTTTATTTAGATCTTTTATAATATTTTGTATTTTTTAGTTTAGAGCTCTCTAGTAGATTTTTTATAGATTCCTTTGAATATTTATGTAAACAGTCATTTTGTCTATGAATAAAGAGTTTTACTTCATCTTTTCCAAACTTTATGCCTTTTATGTCTTTCTCTTTACTTATTGTACTGTCTCAGACTATCCATACAATGTTGAATAGAAGCGGTGAGAACAAAGTATATTTGCCTGGTTTCTGATCTCAGGAAAGGAAAAAATATTCAATATTTTGTTATTAAGTTTGACATTAACTTCAGGCTTTTCATAGATGTTTTCTCAGACTAAGGAGGTTCCTTTTTATTCCTACTTTGTTAAGTGTGTTTTATAATCAAAGGGTGTTCAGTTTTGTCAAAAGCTTTCCTTCCTTCATACATTGAAATGATTATATGGTCTTTCTTCCTTTTCTGATAATTTGGTGAATTAAATTGATTTTTTAAGTGCTAAGCCCATCTTGCATTCCTGGGATAAACCCTCATTTGATCATAAGGTATGGCTATTTTATGTAATCCTAGATCTGACTTGATAGTGTTTTGCTAAAACTTATTTATGTCTATATTCAGGAGAAATATTGGTTTCTATATTTTCTTGAAATATTTTTGTCAAGTTTTATTCCAAGACACTGTTGGCCTCATTAAATGAGCTGGAAAGTATTTAAATATTTCCTCCTTTTGTGTTTTCTTAAATAATTTGTGTAGATTTATATGTTTCATAAAATTTTTATAGAAATTCACCAGAGCATCCATGTAGGCTTGGAATTATCTTGGTGGGGAGCTTTTTCATTGCAATTTAAATATATGTGTGTATACATATATAATATTTATATATCTATAAAGTTATTCAGGTTTTCTGCTTTTTGTGTTAATATTTGCAGGGTTTTACTTTTTTTAAACTTTTATTTTAAGTTCAGGGGTACATGTGCAGGTTCGTTACATAGGTAAACTTGTGTCATGAGGGTTTGTTGTACACGTTATTTCATCACCCAGGTATTAAGCCCAGTACCCATTAGTTATTTTTCCTGATCCTCCCCCTCCTTCCACCCTCTGCCTTCTGATAGGCCCCAGTGTGTGTTGTTCCCCTCTATGTGTCGATGTGACAAACAGTGTTGTTCAATATACTTATTTCATTTAAGTCGTAAAGTGTATTTACACAAATGTCCATAATATTTCTTTATTATCCTTTGAATGTCTCTATGAATTGTGATCATATTCCCTCTTTCATTTTTTGATATTGATTATTTTTGTTTTCAGATTTTTTTCTTGATCAGTCTTGCTGGGGCCCATTAATTTTATTAGCCTTGGTACCAGCATGAGAACGGACAGAGGTATTGAAGTCTTACTGGGAGGAGGAGTTCAGACTTGTTCTTACTTCTGGAGCCTTTGTCCTCAGCTCCTCTAACAAACTTAACTCATTTACATTTCAGCTGTCATCACCTGGCCTTATGAAAAACACATAGTATCAACATTTGGATTTGTTGATTTTCTTTATTTTTATTTTTTCTTAATTAATTGCCTTATTCTCTTATTTTTACTATTTCCTTTCATTTTCTTACTTTGATTTTTATGTGATCTTTTTTCAGATACTTAGGAGGTAATTAAAATTATTAGCTTTAAGTCTTACTTCTCTTCTAATATAAGTATTTTTTTTTTCCAGATGGAGTATCGCTTTGTCGCCCAGGCTGGAGTGCAGTGGCAAGATCTCAGCTGACTGCAACCTCCAACTCCCGGGTTCAAGCGATTCTCCTGCCTCAGCCTCCCGAGTAGCTGAGATTACGGAGGCATGCCAACACACCCAGATAATTTTTGCATTTTTTAGTAGAGATGGGGTTTTACCATGTTGGCCAGGCTGGTCTCAAACTTCTGACCTCAGGTGATCTGCCTTCCTCAGCCTCCCAGAGTGCTGGGGTAACAGGCGTGAGCCACCACGCCCGGCCTAATATAAGTATTTTAATGCTACCAATTTTCCTTGAATCTCTGCTTTAACTGCATTCCATAAATTTTTATTCATGGTGTTTTTATCATCATTTAACTCAAAATATTTTCTGATTTCTCTTATGATTTATTCTTTCATTATGCATCATTTAGAGGCATGTTGTTTTATTTCCAAATAATTGGGGATTTTCTATATCTCCTATTCTGATCTCTAATTGAATTCCACTGTCATTAGAGATGTACTTTGTGAGATTTCTATTTTTGGAGATTTATTTAGACATTCTATTTTATAGCCCAGCATCAGCACAAGATCTATCTTGGCAAATGTTTTAAGTGCATTTGAAAGAAATATGTACTCCGAAGTTCTTGAGTATGGTGTGTGTGTGTGTGTGTGTGTGTGTGTGGTTTTTTGTTTTTTGTGTTTATTTGTTTGTTTGTTTTGTTTTGAGATGGAGTCACCCAGGCTGAAGTGCAGTGGCATGATCTTGGCTCACTGCAACCTCTCCATCCCAGGTTCAAGCGATTCTCCTACCTCAGCTTCCAGAGTAGCTGGGATTACAGGCGTGCACCACCACGCCCAGCTAATTTTTGTATTTTTAATAGAGACAGGGTTTCACCATGTTGGCAAGGCTGGTCTCAATATCCTGACCTGGTGATTCGCCTGCCTTAGCCTCCCAAAGTGCTGGGATTACAGGCGTGAGCCACCGAGCCCAGCCTAATTTTTGTATTTTTATTAGAGATAGGGTTTCACCATGCTGGCCAGGCTGGTCTCAAACTCCTGACCTCAGGTGATCCACCCGCCTCAGCCTCCCAAACTGCTGAGATTACAGGCGTGAGCCACTGCACCCAGCGGAGTATGGCATTTTGTAAGTATAAATTTATTTAATCTGGTTGATCATGTGGTTGACATTTTCTTTATTTTTTATCTACTTATTCTACAAAATACTGACAAAGAAGTGTCAAAAATGTCTAACTATTAGTGTGATTTTGTCAATTTCCCTTTTTTCTTCTGTCGACATTTGCTTCACATATTTTTGAATCTCTGTTATTAGGTGCATACGCACATACCTGTTGTTGGAGCTGTTCTAAGTTCCTAATCAATGAAGACTTTTATTACGATAAAATGTCTCTCTTTCACCCTTACCACTCAGACTGGGTTGGCTTCAACTTCTCTCCATCCTGCATGATAAAAGAGATAAACAGAGAGATTAGCCCTCAGCCTCATGAAGAATAGCCAATGCCTGCTTGATCACATGGAATCTTGCCCTCCATTTGTACAACATAAGCGTTAGCCAAGGACCCACAGAGACTCCACACAGACTTCTACTCCTTCCTCCTATCCCTACCCTGTACCATCCTCCTTTCTGGTGCCCTACCATGCATGTTCCAGATGCTACAGCAGCCCCGGTGGCTGATCTCCGCCTCCTCTGTTTAATGTTAACACAGTTTTCTACTTGGGCTCTGCTTCTTTGCATGCAATCTGGAAACTGCCACAAGGCAGGGAGCCAGGACAAATATAGAGTTCCCTCTATGTGCTTCCCTTCTTTCAAAGATCCGTCCTGCACTGCCTGTTGTTCATTGCCTCCATACAGTTATTGTATATATCGTGTCCAGTTTTATTGTTTAGGATGAGAGAACACATCCAGGGCCAGTTATTCCCTCATGGCCATGTGTTGACGTGCTTCTGCTTTTTCATGTTTTTTAGTGATAGACAAAATAATTGCAGCAAGTCTCTGTTCGCATTTTGGTAGAGTAAAAGGACATCTCATCATCTTCAAATCTAGCCAAATAAAATACCCACCAATCTCTCATAAATAAGGCAGATATGTCTGCTGTTTACCTAATGTAGTCCCAGTTAATACCTATTATTAATTTCACTCTCAAAAATATCCTCACTTTTGTAATAAATGACCTGGCTATCCTATTTATAAATCTTAATAATAGCAATTTGTTAGAGAATCCCATAGTCCAAATTTACCTTCATTATTCATTAGTTTTTCATATTCAGTTTATCTTTTCCAAATTTAATATTGTTATTTCTTCTTTAGGAACCTATTTTTTTTTTTTACCAGTTTGTAAGTCTTCATACAACCTACCTCTCCATTCTCTAACACTCTGAAATAGGTTTTAAATGTGGTCAAAATGTGTCTTTGAGAAATAAACTGCACAACACAAACCATACTTTTATTAGACAATTCTTACAGTAGGAAAAACATGTCCCATTTACTCACAAATTTCTCCCTCTCAATGAGTCAAAAGACGACAACACATTGATCTTTCCTGCCATGTTTGATGGAATTTCCTGCATGGACTCTACGTTCAGAGCCCTGGGTTGGTGTAAGTGTGCCGATGGACAGAGGCCATAAAGTATTATTAGGGGGAGAAGTTAAGATTTGTTCTTAATTCTGGAGCTTCTGTTCTCAGTTCCCCTGACAAACTTAGTGATTTACATTTTAGCTATCATTACCTGGCCTTATGAAAAGCACATAATAACTTGAATATGCCCAAACATCCCACAGAAAAAAAAAATATGCAGAGAAATCTGTCCCACATTTCCTTACCTTTGGAAAAGAATGAATTACTTAAGCAAAACAGCATTTGAAAGTAAATGTGGTATCTTTGGCCATAAATATGCTTCCTCCTCTTTAAAGGTACAATGTCCTCTGGACTATATTTCTGGCCATGGAGTCCATGCCTTGAGAGCTTAGTAAACATGATATAAGACAAATACTCTTGTTCATTATTTATTTTCTTTGACTATACACCTAGTTAATGCAGACTGACAACTTGAATGGCTATCCAGTTATTTTTCAATGACCAAGTTATATATCATATTGAGGATAGTAATAAATGTTGAACTTTCAAATCTTATGCAAATATGTTGTATTTCCATATATCTCATGTTTGGCAATTTATTACTTTTATGTTTTTATTTTGAAACTATTTATAGCCTATTTAATGTCAGACTTGTACCTACCATGAAATATGGGGAACACCTTTCATTAAGTGGAAGGTTTTCTTTTATGACAGAGCTTATAGAAGATTCAAACTGTTAGTCAGAGGCACTTATTTTGAGAGAGTGGCAGCTTGGGTGCTGTAATACGTTTCCTCTGTTTTAAAACATCCCAAAGAATGCTGTCAGCTCTAAGTTTCTATACCTAGTATCTACTAAATCAGATCAAGCCATTTTTACATAACGGTTGCAAATGTGTTTTTTTGAATGTTAAATCTGTTTCTATTTTTCAATCAATTTAAAATGTGTAGAAAAAGTGTTCTGATTGTATATTATCCAATTTTCATCAGCTGCCGGAAGGAAGTGCTGTGAAAATCTGTGATTTAAAACCCTTAAAACTTCTGCTTGAAATGCATGTTTTGTTAAGAACATTAGATATGCAAAGTATTTTGAACGGAATTTTGATGTCTTTATTAATAGCATTTAAAAGTTTTAGGATTTCAGATATTCATAGATTGTATTCTCCTTGATTTGCAAGGTCATATATTTTAGGTCTTTATATTTCTCCTTTAGGAAATAATTGGAACTGTGAAGGAAACTGGGAAAAGAAAAATAAAGAAATAATTATATGATTAATAACAATTTTATCTTTTCTCAGAGTTATTGGAAAGTGTATTTTATGTAAGATATATATATATAACCACAAATATCAGTAAGCACTTACCTAAAACCGATTGTATATCAATCGTTTGCCTGTGAGCTGTGTAACATACACATGTCTTGCCTTCCAGGAGTTTGTGATCTAGTGAAATGTGTAAAAATATACATGTCAAAGGAGTGGCTTAAGTACCGTTAGAGTTTAGAGGGGGTAAACAATTTTTTCTTCCTGTAAGACTTTATGTCTGAAGCGGGATTTGAGTTGAGGAATAAAGGTGATACATAATAGTAATTCGTGATAAAAATAATATTGAATGACAAATTCAAATGCAATATTTGTTTTATTAAATCTAAGCAACTTAGGTTGGATATAAAAAATAAGGGTGGAAGATACAAAATAATCCAATTACAGCAGATGCCTTTTTATAGCTATATTTTGTTTCATGCTAATTGAAAAATTAGAAGCAGAAAAACTCTGTTAATTAGTACTTTCTTTAGTTTTTTTATATTTAGTTTTACCTCTTCTATGAGTCAGCATTTATGTTTATCCATATGAAGAGATTGCCAAAAAATCGTGACTTAAACATACAGGAATTGATTTTCTCACTTAAGGCAAATCCCAAGGCATAGCAGCTCCATGATGTCACTGGGGTTTCTTTCTAGCCCTTTAACCACCCACCCCTGTGGTATTGAATCAAGTCCAAGACAGCACCTGGAGCTCCAGTCATCACATCTCTCTTCCAGGCCTACAGCAAGAGGAAGGAACAAAGAAGGGTGCCAGCCCTTCCTTGAAGGCCTTAAGGAAGTACCACATGCTGCTTTGCTTATACATAACCAGTGGCCAAGAGGTTGTCAAATAGCCACATCTATTACATGGAGGCTGGAAAATGCAGTCTTCTAGATGGATATGGATTGCCCAGACTAAGGACAGGGTTTGGTGGTAGTGGGGAAACAGAGGAGCCTAGTGTAGGCGTATGGCGTTTCTGTCATTCCTGCTAAACATGTTTAAGGTTCCTGATGCACATTGCGGTGTTACTAATTTGAAACGAGACACCTGACATAAGGGCTGTCACTCACTGGGTGGATCTATTGTAGGCACCAGACATATTGTTCAGTCCTTAGGAAGGATCCACCCATTCTAGTTGTCTGCTCAGATGAAGATCATGAAAGAATTCACTGAAAATGACTGAACCTAGTTTGAGAATGGTGGTCATCTGGCTGTGTGTTTAACTTATATACAAGGCTGTGTATCATTATATTCGGGTGAATGGATAGGTAGGTATGTATATAGGTAACATATTGTATAATTAGGTTGATAGAAAAATGGGGGGAAAGGAAAGAAAATGAGGGGGCAGGAAAAGGAAGGGAGGAGAGAAGAGGGAGGAACGGAATTGGGGAAAGTTCTTAGCAGTACATCAAGGATAGTCTGGTCTATGGTCTAATCAAAATATATGTCTGTGTATTAACCTATTCGACTCTTTAGTTTCATAGTGTAGCACATCATTCTACTCTGGGATGCTGTTTTGGTTATGATCTTCAGTGTTTTTGGTAGTTGATTCTTTATTTCCACACTTGTAAATGCTGAGAGTTTACCTTAAATACTCCCAAAGAAACTTTTTTTCCTAATATTTTATAATATGTTGTCTTCCTTATTTATTTCTTAATAAGATGATGGCTCATCTGTCTATTCATTCATCTATCTATATATAATCCTTCCGTCTGTCTATATACCTATTCATCTATCATATCATCTATCTATCATCTTCCCATCCATCCATCCATGCGTGCATCCATCCATCCATCCATCTGCCTACCTACCTGTCTATCTACCTATCTGTGTGTCTATCTACCTACCTACCTACCTGCTTATCTATCTTTCTGTCTATCTATCTATCTACCTCTCTATCTATCTATATTATGAATGCTCTTTGTCTATTGGTCTATGACCTAATCAGTGTTGTCTCTGTTCTTGGCAGCTGCATTTCTCATCTAGTGGAAGGGTAGAGTTCTAGTCTATTCTCTTTTCACAGTTACAGATCAACTCCTTACTTAGTTTCAGATGAAAGTGGGATTGCCACATTGGGTAGCTCCATGATACTGTGTGTGTTATCCCAGTAAATATCTCTCTGGCATAGAAGAGCAAGACTGTTACTATTTGATGAGTCCATGTGCAGAAATATATGGGTCAACCTACAGAAATCAACACTGTCAAGTGACATAAATTCAGAAGAATAATATTCCATACAATTTGTATAATGAACTGCTGTTTTTGAGAAATCATTACAGGCAAAAAGAAAGAAAGTTGGGGGAGGGAGAGAAAGTAGAGAGAGGGAGGGAGGAAGGAAGGAAGATGGAAAAAAGAAATTCTCTGAGTTTTCAGTGGAAGAAATTACCTCCAACCACATTTAAAATGTTTTCAATGACCTTCTTAACTGATTTTGAGCACTGGAAATTTCTCATTTCTCCCAGCAATAGCTACAGTCTACTAAACACTAGGTAGAACTGACAGAAGCAGTGAAGGAAAATTGCTACCAACTTAGAGAACAAGGTGCCCGGCTACTGACACTGCTCGTAATCTCTTCTCATGGGAAAGTGTTTAATATCTACAGTAACATTTAAATTTGAGAAGACATGGTTTTTAAAATTCATATACAGCAATAACAATAGTTAATGAGGTAAATTTTATTTTCTTCAAAATATCTTGTATCCCTCTAACTCATGGAACGTTAGAGATCACTATGGAGAAGCCCCAGATGTGACTCCTGTGATACTTAGAAGAGACCCTGAACTCTTATTCCCTCTCATAAAATTAGTAGACACACTTGTGGCACTTCGTTGATTGCTCAGTCCAAAGTGATCTGTCAAAAATCAGCACCTGCAAGCGTCATGCACATAAAAGTTAAGAAAAAAAGTGTTTTTTTTAACATGTTCAGATTGGATTTTAAAAATAAAATAAGTGAACTTCTTTTTAGTGTGTCTAAGTTAATTTTCCAAAATTCAACTCTTGCATAGTCAATGGGGATGGGATAAATATTATGGGATTTTCATTTGCATTGCCCTTCCTGTTCTCTGAAATAATTTATTATAATTTTCATGAGACTTCATAATATTATTCATTCACTTCATAATTGAAACGTTGTTAAACTCTGCCTCATGTTGATTCCTGACCTATACCAGCCAAAGGCACCTTCCTCTACTTCTTCTCTCCTTTCTAAGGAAGTTAGCAAGTTTGATATCCACTGATAACCTATGCAGATGATTGTGGTCTTATTGATTTATAAAACGAAGATGATACTCCTGACTTCTTAGAAATATATGTTAGATTAATTGATAGGAAAATTGTTTAAATATTTAAATATGCAAATATTAACAAATATGTAAATATCAATAACACATGCAAATAATAAATATGCAAATGTTAATTAACAAATAAACATATGAATGTTAACCATTAAAAATTGATACAGAAAAAGGTTTAAAAAAGACATAGAGGAATTAAAGTGTGATTATCATTTCATCAATTGGTTTATCATTTTGACTGATATATTGTTAAAAAATAGTGACAACTTATTGTATTCAAGTTTATTACCCAATTTTTAGTAACATAGTAAAAGTAGTGAATATGGTGATAGTGACAAGTCATAGAATGCAGGAAAATTGTCAACAACTACAATAGTCCATGGCACTTTAGTAGCTGCTAAAAAAAATTATTTGGTAAGCTCTAACTCCTACCCTTTGAAAACAGATGAGAAAAAAATATATAGACCCTTACTTTAGTTAAAAATTCATACAAATTCACAAAGGAATTCCAGTTCACCTGGCAAATGACAAGCCCTTCTCCTTGTGACAAAATCAATAAAATCTACAAAGCCTATGTGCAGGGCTCCTCCTATGACCAACTTCCAATGCCAGCCCCCGGGGCTCTAATAGAGGTCAGATCAGTTCTTCTGTTCCTGAAACATAGGAGTCATGTTTTGGGTTTTACTTTTGGCTTATCATTCTGTTATTTGACCCAAGCTCATTTGAGTATGTAATGAGAATAACTCATTGAGCTAATATATTATAAAATAGCCTCAGACTTGAAGCTAGAATTCTGGGGGAAATCCCAAGCATGAAACTCTACCCCCAACCTCCACCACTCTCTCCATTTAAGGATAATTCATCTCTACTTTAACTCCACATTCCCTGGAAGATTTATTCCCTGCCCACCTGATTACAAGAATAGCACAATTTAGGATACCCTTCGGGAATGGAGATTTAAAAATCATTTAGAGGCAAGTATGATGACTCAATCAATTATGTTACTTCTCACCAATTTTCTAAACCTAGCACCAATAAGAAGAAAGAGACTCAGTGAAAGTAATTCACAAGGACAAGTTAAAGAAAAAAGGAAGTTAAGGGGAATAAGTTAAAATAAGTAGTTCAGAAGACAGACAAAATGAACATGAATATATTTATTCATGTCTTCAAGTTCATTTTGTCTGTCTTCAAATTATCAGGAAAAAGTGATATTTGAAGTTAGAAAGAAAGGATTCATATTTGTTGACCACATATCATGTACAAAGCATTATTCCAGGTCCTGAAATATATTCGAGATCTTGAAATTGATCTTTGTTTTTGACCCCCTTGGCTTATTTTGCTTTACTTTTATTAGCATTAGTAGCACATATTAAAACTGTCACAAGTCAATGAAATATGAGTGGGACTGAGTGTGTTTCCTGGAGACTTACAGAACTATGACAGAGACAATTCCAAAAACAAAAAGTGCCAGATATTAACCCTTGGGTTGCCTGGGTTTTCTAACATTCACAGCCAAATGAAGTGGTTGCAAAAATTGTAACATGTAAGCTGAACAATTGATATATTTATCTCCTTACTGGGCATCTAGACCATAAAAATCTCCTACTTTTTAGTTTCAAACTTTTAATGACAGTCTTCTCAATTAGAATTATTTTCTGCATTATTCCTCACATTCATGCAACTTCCGTGATTTTGTAAATTTTTGATTGAGAGAAAAATATGCACACCATTCAGAAAGTCAAACACTGCAGGGTGAAAATACTCAAGTGTAATTTCAAGTTAATTCTGGAAGTTCAAGGTTTTAGTAAAAAGAACATATGTTTTCAAGGGCTTCTGAGTCCCCCCCGTTCGCCTGCAGAGTTCGGCTGCAAGACCCTGACTCTCCAGGCTGTGACTTCATTATGAGGAAAACCCTTTGTAGAGGGCATCTGCTCGACTCTAATAATAAATTTTAAGGGAGGTGCAGAATCAAAATGAGAAGCAAATGGATTAATTATTCCTCTACATGGGAGCTGGGAATTCATTCATGACGTTTGTTCCTCATCACTTTGTGTACTCTTGGACTTCTGCAGGAAGGAAGTGTTAAATGAGAAATGAAAGGAGTGAGCCTTTATTTTCTCAATGTTGGAACTTCCATTTCAGTGTTCCAGAAGGGAGAACTGTTCTTAGCACTGGGGCCTGCACAGTCTGCCACATAGGCCCACTTCTCAGAATTAGAGGGTGAAGACTGATATACAGGGGTGTCCATTCTCAAGTACATCATAGTTCAGCTGTGAAAACAAAAGAGCTGGGTTTTTAACCCTGACTTTGACCCTCGTTAGTTAGACTTCAGACACCTGGCATTGAAGACCTTCTTTATCAAATCAGAGGATTAAAACCAGTTACTCCTAAGGTCTCCTCTAATTCTAAACTTTATATTTCCATAAAATTAATTCTAGGCTTTGGCTGCTAGAAAGGACTTCAGTAATAATTCCGCAGTCCACTCATCTAGTCCAACACTTTCTTCTAAATTGGTCCAATGGATTGAGTTTTGAACATTGGAAATGGGAGATGTAACCTGTAGTCACAAGCATAGAAGTAATGACTTATAATCATCAGATTAAGCTCTCAAAAGGTATGATTAAGAGAAACAAGCCAACAGAGTAGGCAGTGATTTCAAAACAACCACCATTGTCAAATTAACAGCAGCCCATCCTGGATAGAATAATTTTTCAGTTGTAATTTCAATTTTTTCAATAGATAAATATTCCTGCAGATTGTCCCTATTCAAAGTAATGGCATGTTTTGTGTTTCATTTTGTATTCAGAAGCAGTTGTGCTTATTAAATATTATCTGTTTTTGCAATTAATCTTTTTTTTTTTTGCTTCTTAATAACTGGTTTAGTTCATCTAACATTTGAAATGACGGGTAAAAAAGCTTATTACTCTGACCGAATTGTAAACTCCCCAAGAGGAGAGACCAAGGAACTAATACCAAAGCATTGTGCTAAGAACCTGTGTGGGTGCACACGTGTGTGTGTTTAGTTGAATTGAAGAGAGGTCCACCAACTCATTCAAATCGTGCATGTTAGCCATGCTCTACAAACTTAATGAGTATACCCATAATACTACATACCATGTCACTGATCCAGGTATTTTTATGTTGTTATGTATTTACAGCCCACCTCTTTTCACAAAGAATTGGAGGCAATGTACAATTTTTTTGTTGTTGTTGAGGCGGAGTCTCGCTCTGTCTGTCGCCCAGGCTGGAGTGCTGTGGTGCGATCTCGGCTCACTGCAAGCTCCGCCTCCCAGGTTCACGCCATTCTCCTGCCTCAGCCTCCCGAGTAGCTGGGACTACAGGCGCCCGCCACCACGCCTGGCTAATTTTTTGTATTTTTAGTAGAGACGGGGTTTCATCGTTGTGTTAGCCAGGATGGTCTCGATCTCCTGACCTTGTGATCCGCCCGCCTCAGCCCCCCAAAGTGCTGGGATTACAGGCGTGAGCCACCGCAATATACAATTTTTACATCCCACAGTGAAATAATAAACTATAAATAGAAGTAGAAGATTAATGGCAGGAACAAGGAGAATAGAAATATGCCAATCCTAAGATGGGTCTGGTTGCTGAACATCGTATTTTGTTTGAGCTTTCTGGTTGCCGGAAGAAAGAAATGGAAGCGTGTTCAGTTGCAAGGTTCCCCATTAATGAATGGGAGGCTGCATCCTGGTCCCTCGGGGAAGTAACAAGTTTTGATAAATACATTAAATAGTTGTGTTCCCCGGACAAAACCCTGTGGAACAATTCTCATTATTTACATGGAACTCTAGATGAATTGATAATTTTTTCGTGGCATACTGATAAGTTTATCTGGCAATTGGACGTCACATGAAACTTTCTATCCCAGAAAACCAGTTTATGTGGCTACCCTGGTTAGTTCAAGGTCTCCTGTCTTGAATATCTAGGAATAATGCATGCTAAACTGACTTGAATTACTACGAATTTCCCGTTTATTTCTGAAATTTTTCTAATTTTAATTTTTATTATAATAAATATATAATGTAAAATTTATTATTTTAACCATTTTAAGTATAGAATTCAGTGACATTAAGTATATTCACAAGGTTGTGTAAATATCACCATTATTTCCTTAACATTTTCATCATCCCAGATGGAAACTGTACCCATTAAACACTAACTTCCCATTCTCACTGTCCGCAGTCCCAAGTAACCTCTATTCTACCTTCTGTCTCTATGAATTTCTCTATTCTGTGTACCTCATATAAGTGGAATAATACAATATTTGTCCTTTTGCATCTGGATTATTTAACAGCATAATGTTTTCAGGTTCATCCGTGTTGTAGCATGTATCAGAATTTTATCTCTTTCGATGGCTGGATAATATTCAATTTTATCCCTTTCTTTTAAAAAAATAATCTAATCTTTTCAGTCTTTAGATTTTTTTCCCTGTTCCTTGAGTTGTCAAAATACTAGCAAAATTATCTAAAATAACATCTGCCTATCTCTTAAAAAGCCCTACAATTCAAATCATTGTCTCAGTTACTTTGCTGACCTCAAGGTTTTCCTTTGATACTATTCCTTTATCTATTATGATTTGATTTGAGACTTTCATTGCAAGCAATTTTCCATATGGAAAATGTTTTCTTAATTTTTATAAAAATTTTTGGAAATGTTTTTATGGAAAACATTTTTTAAATCTTATTTTTGTTTCTTTGTTTAAAAAATTACACTTTCTAGATCTTGGTCTCAAAGGGGCGTCATGTGAAATTTTTCTTAATTTTCTTCATTGATCAATATAACTATCAAATATTTTCACATTGCTTTTTGTATAATGTATAAGCACTACAAGTTGTATCTATTTTCCCCTTGTTCTGAGCAGCTACTTACTTCCTGAGAATGCCCACTAGCAATCATTGAAATTTTCTCGCTCAGTCCCACAGCCTAAGCAAAAACTATACAAAAAGTTCAAAAACTTTAAAGAGATTCAAGTTTGCTTGTTTGTTTTGAGACGGAGTCTAGCTCCATCACCAGGCTGGAGTGAAGTGGTGAGATGTCGGCTCACTGCAACCTCCTCCTCCCGGGTTCAAGTGATTCTCCTGCCTCAGCCTCCCGAGTAGCTGGGATTGCAGGCATGCACCACCACACCCGGCTAATTTTTATATTTTTAGTAGAGACAGGGTTTCACCATGTTGGCCAGGATGGTTTTAATCTCTTGACCTCGTGATCTGCCCGCCTCGGCCTCCCAAAGTGCTGGAATTACAGGGGTGAGCCACCGCGCCTGGCCGAGATTCAAGATTTTAAGACCATTGACTAGAATTTAAACAACACAACCTCTACTTGAGCATGAAAAAAATCACTCCCATAGCTACATGTTCGTTTCATTTGACTCATATAAAAATAATTCATAGAGACCAAGGTTTATATCAAATAACATCTTAAGTTGAAACTATCAATTCAAAAATTAAATATTTCAAAAATTAAATGCCACTTACAAAATACTGTTCTATTAGGTATACCTATATCTCATAACATGTTAACAAAATAATATGATGTATTTTCACTGGGCCATTCTTAGAGATAAAACATTCAAAGAATAAACTTAATATTAAAAGCTAGTTAATCTTCTGAATATGGATTTGAAAGTGCAGTCCCACACATGTGTTTTTAGGCAAGTCATATCTTGCCTAACATTTCAATAGGTAGATCAACCTGCTGGAAAAAGATCTGGCAGCATTTTCTCCTACGAGTTTTTTCGCTGTGGTTTTTCTTGGGTTTTTTTTTTTTTTTTTTTTTTGAGACAGGGTCTCCCTCCATCACTCAGGCTGAAATGCAGTGGCGTGATCGCCACTCACTGCAACCTCCGCCTTCCGGGTTCAAGCAATTCTCCCGCCTCAGCCTCCTGAGTAGCTGGGACTACAGGCGCGTGCCACCACACCCAGCTAATTTTTGCATTTTCAATAGAGATGGGGTTTCACCATATTGGTCAGGCTACTTTCGAACTCCCGACCTCAAGTGATCCGCCTACCTCAGCCTCCGAAAGTGCTGGGATTACAGGCATGAATGAGCCACCATGCCCGGCCTCTACAACTTTTTCTTCATTAAGTTGTGCTAAAAATTTTGAAAGTAGCTAGATATTAAATGAACTACAAATGTATTTTAATTTGGAAGCAAACTTTTGAGATAAATATTGGTTCAATACATGAAAATCATTAATTAAATAACATTTAAATCACATGGATTCTTGGCATTTTCTCTGGATTCTCTATTTCACCCAGTGTTCATAATTTATATGTATTCTACATATCTGATATTATATATGATACAAATCAAGTGTATTTTACATATGCACATGCACTTAATATTCAGCTGTACATTACCATCATTAAGAAAAATCTCTTAGGTTTTTTTCTAATTTCACAAGCCTTCATTTCATATTCAAACTAAAACTTAGAAGTAATTTTAAAAATTTGGTTTAAAAATCTTACATTGTTACTGGTTTAATTTTGATATTACACCTTACTAATAAACTTTGGGTTAATCATCAGTTTCAATTCAGTTTAATTCAGTTTTAATTCAGTGATATTTCTAAATTGGATAATGAATATCTGACATTATTCCTAGTGCCTGACACCTGCTTGAATGTCCTTTACCATGAGGAAAGTTTTCCATTGAGCCAACGTAAATAAAATCTGGGAGCTAGAGAAAATAGCTACCTTGACGAAACTTGGCTCATAAGAACCCAGCAAATACTTTAAATACTTTCCTGTTTTATTTCATGAGTTCTTCTACAGTGTACTTTAAAAAGTTTTTCTTCCTGCTCACCTTATTTCCCCTAAGTGCCAGTCTAAAAGACTGATTATAATGGGCATTAGAAACACTAGAAAAAAAAATGTCCTTTCTGAGCCCCAGATTCTAAGCTTCAGTTACTGGTCGGGTCTTCCCAAATTATATGGCTATCTTTACACGTACCTGTGTGATTTTTTTTTTTTAGATAGGACATTTTACAGCCAGAACCCAAACTTACAGTATGCATTAAAAACTAAATGTATTTACAAGGCTGTTAATGTAAGCTTAATGATAGACTTGACAAAATACATTAGATTTCTAATGACTATTTCCAATTTCTCTTTATTAGGAAAGTAATGATACCTTTAATCTGTTAGTAGGTGGCTACAGGAGTATTCTGGTTCTCTTTTTTTCCGTTTAGTTCTCTTCATTCTCTTTCTTTCTCTGTGCCTCTCTATCCAGTCTTCACTGGAGTGAATGCTCCCTTGAATCATGCTTTATATTCTGGCTGCAACCACAACTGTTTAAAATATTTCCAAGGGCATTTGCCTTCTTCCGACATTCTTCACGACAAAATTTTAAGTTCAGTGCTTCGTATCTGAGAACAGTGTCTCTCTTCTGCACACGCTCTGATCAGCCTCTCGGACTCCAGGATACATTGGATAATTGTATATCCCTTGGCATTTTAAAGACGAGATGCAGCTTCAAAATGGGGAACAACCTAGAATAGCCTTTACAATAGAAAAATCTTGAATTCAAATCACTCTTCCTCCTTAAACTATCAAGCATATTCCCTTGATTGAAAGACCTCAAGGATTTAACTTTTGGCTATTTCATTCCTGCAATATATTCACTATATATGTACACATGAGAAAAAAGGCAAGCAATAAAAATCAGACACAATAATCTTAAACAGCTTCCCAGATGAGGCTCAATTTTATTCTATTCTATTCTATTCTAGCCTATTGTTTTATTTTATTTTTTTGAGACAGAGTCTTGCTCTGCTGCCCAGGCTGGAGTGCAGTGGAATAATCTCAGCTCACTGCAACCTCTGCCTCCCAGGTTTAAGCGATTCTCATGCTTCAGCCCCACAAGTAGCTGGAATTACAGGTGCCCGCCACCACGCCAGGCTAATTTTCGTATTTTTAGTAGAGCCAGGGGTTTCCCCATGTTGGCCAGGCTGGTCTTGAACTCCTGACCTCAAGTGATCCACCCGCTTCGGCCTCCCAAAGTGCTAGGGTTACAGGCATGAGCCACTGTGCCTGGCCAAGGCTCAATTTTAGTTTGTCATTTCCCAACCTGCACCCAGATAAACCCTAGGCTTGTAGGTAAACGTTTAGATAGCCTGTGAAAAGAACAAATTCAAATCAGGTTAAATTCACTGTCTGTATTAGTCAGCGTTCTCCAGAGAAACAAAACCAATAGAAATGTGTATATATATATATATATATATGTATATATATACATATATGTGTATATATATATATGTATATATATACATATATGTATATATATACATATATATATGCGTGTGTGTGTGTGTGTGTGTGTGTGTGGAAAGAGAGAGAGAGAGAGACTTACAGGAATAGACTCATATGATTATGGAGGCTGAGAAGTCCCACAGTCTGACATCTGCAAACTGGAGAAACCAGGAAAGCCGGTGGTTCAGTCCGAAGGCCTTGGGGCAGGGGTCCGTTGGAGGAGGGGGGAACAGTGTAAGCCACAGTTCTAGTTTGAAGGCCTGAGAACCAGGAGTGCCAACGTCCAAGGGCAGGAGATGTGTGTTCCAGCTCAGACAGAAGAAAATTCACCTTCCCTCCACATTTTTGTTCTATTTGGGCCCTCAAGAGATTAGTAGACGCCCACCCTCACTGGGGAGGGGGATCTTCCTTTGTCAGTTCACGATTCAAATGTTGATCTCTTCCAGAAACATCCCCTCAAACGCACCAAGGAATACTGTTTCACCAGCTACCCGGGCATCCCTTAGCCCACTAAAGTTGACATATTAAATCAACCATCACACTACACTTACATGGTGACATGGTTTGGATATTTGTCCCTTCCAAATCTCACAATGAAGCGTAATGCCCAGTGTTAGAGGTGGGGCCCGGTGGGGGGGATATTGCATCACAGGGCGGATCCCTCATGAGGGGCTTAGCACCATCCTCGTGGTGATGCGTGCGTTCACGTGGGACCTGGGTGTTTGAAAGTGTGTGGCACCCCCGTTCCCAGCCTGCTCTCTCGCTTCCACTCTCACCATGTGACATGCCGGCTCCCCGTTCCCTTCTGCTATGATTAGAAGCTTTCTGAGGACCTCACCAGAAGCAGATGCTGGCACCACCCTGCCCATAGAGCCTGCAGACCTGCAAGCAGAAATAAATCGCTTTTTCTTTATAAATTACCCAGCCTCGGGTATTCCTTTACAGCAACGCAAGAACAGCCTAGCACACATGGTATGCTTTTTGAGGCTGTTTTTGGCATACAATCAATACTATTTAATGATCGTGGTAGTCGTGGTAGAGAAGAGGTGTGAACAATTTACTTGAACGGGCAATAATTATAAAATAATCCTCAAATTAGTGAGGTGCTTCAAGACTGCTCTTGCTTTGAACAGCAAAGATACAGAAAACTATAATCCTTGGAACTGTGCCTTCCATTGTAGTATTTTCTGGTTGCATTTTGGGAAGAGTGTGGAAATCCTAACATCCTCTACTGCTGACGGAATCTATGCATATAAATGTTAAAACTATACTCCAGTATAAAATAATTTGCTTTTATTTTTCTTCTTCATTATTTTAATTAATTGGGATCTTCCTTATAAGCCAAAAATCTGAATTCCACTAGCTCTTAATGAATGATACAGAAAAATATAATTTCTCCATGAATGTTAGGTTGATTGGAAAATGTCATCCTCTGACCTACTCAGCCTTGCTAATCAAGAGAAGTCTTCAGAGGGACTAATAGTTAGATTAAGCAGGCTACAATCCATCAGCCACCCCCTTTATTTGTTTAAATTAGAGTTTCTGTCAGGTATGAGGTTCAGTGTATCTGAGGAAAGCCATGCCAACATGGCTGAGAGCATATACAGGCATGTCTCTGGTAATTGGATAGTGTGCTGTTTCACCTTAAGCTGTTTTGAATTAATGCAAGACATCAGCCACCAGCTTTAGGTGGTTTAATTATCAGAATTGTCACATTTTAGTTATCAGCCCAAGGGGTGCATGCTGGGGTTGATTGTGAACATGTGGTACTACCTGATACAGGTTACCCGATGGCCAGATATGGGTCACTTCAGGACACACTTAATTTAAAGGAGTACTGTCCTGATGCAGAAATATTTATAAATAGGAATCTGGTTTTCAAAGAAAAAAAAGACTACTAAAATACAAAGCTGCTCAGTTGAAAGAAGAAAAAAATAGATCCCTTACTATCTTAGCTTTATATATAGGAATTATGCTACTATTAAAAGGTTTCTAAATGTCAATATTCATTGTGGGCTTTTAAAAAAATTTTTGCACTTAAGATTATTAAAATCAAGCAATTTATTCTAACGTGTTAGACTAAACTGTGCCCCCACTCTATTATTAGAATGAAATCACTTCTTATCAGAAGTGTCTATTATACAGCAAGCAGAATATAGTCTTGTTCATTATTTTTACTTAAAGGGGCCCCAACCATTTGTATGGAAAATCATTAGTGTCTGTAGGGTTGGTGAAGTTTTCAGCTCTGTGTGTTTAACTGCACTTTTACTGAAATATTTTAGTGGGTTGCTCAACTACGGAGAATAGTATCCCAATGACCATCACAGTGCCCTAAATTCTATTGTTTTCCTGGATGCTATTGCTTTCCTGAAGCATCAGTAAAAATAATGGAACTAATTCTTCTGAATCACTGCACTCTTACCCCAGTTCAGTTCTAATAGTATTGACTACAATCTAAGCATTTTTGCTTCACTCAACACAGCTCTTAAAGGGCTTTCTCTTTTGAAGGCATACTCTCTGTGGGTGGTCAATACCCTTATGAAATTGTCAGACTTGAAAGTAAGATGGATTGTTACTGGAACATTAAGTAGGACAGAGAGCAGATGAAATTTCAATACAACGTTGCAGCTGTTCATAAGCTCAAAAACGTAAATTAGTTCAGCTAAACTGCTAAATTCCAATAAGAAACAAACTAAGGAGTTGGCTACTTGTTCCCTAATAGGAGGAAAATGCATCTAAAACATAAATTGAAACCTTGTCATCTTAAGAAACTAACATTTGCACTAAATTATTCCCTCCCTAAACAACCCAGTTAATCTAATATTTACAACCCCTGTATACAAATCCAGATGGTCTTTCCTACCACTCAGCACCTGCCATCTCTGCAGCTTTTGATACCGTGATTCCCTCCTTCACAACCTCTTCCTTGGCTTCTCTTAGCCATCCTAATACCTTTCTTATTTTCTCTTTCTTTATCTCCTTTCTTGCTTCTATTTCTACCAGTTCTCTTCAGATCAAATTCTCAGACTTTCTACTCTTGCTCAATTTTCTTTCTTTATCCAAATCCTTAGATTGCTCATCCACTCTTGCCATGTCAACTATCACCTATATGCTCATTATTAAACCTGCAGTTTCAGCCCATGCCTTTATCCTTCATTTATTTCCAGTTGTTTACAGAACACGTCCAATCAGGTGGTCATGTTTGTAAAGTCAAATCTAGTGTATGTGATGATCAAAAATGAATCCTTTGCCTAACTTTTTGTTAGGATCTGAATGTGTACCCTCCAAAATTCAAGTGTGGCCAGTGTGATAGTATGGCGGAAAGGGGAGAGGTTGTTTAAGAGGTGATTTAGCCATTAAGCCATGAGGACTCCTTCCTCATGTATTGGATTAGGTACCCTTCGAAAAGGACTTGACAGAGGGAATTCAACCTTCTTACCCTTTGACGTTCTGCCATGTGAGGACATAGCATTTGTCCAGGATAGACTGGAGGCTCACCAGACACCAAACCTGCCAATGCCTTGATCTTGGACTTCCCAGTCTCCAAAACTGTGAAAAATAAATTTCTATTCTTTGCAAATTACATAGTTTGTGGGATTTTGTTGTTGCAGCCCAACACAGACTAAGACACTTCCTACTTCAATGAATGTCTCCTTGCTTCTATGAATTGCATATTCTGAAGTCAACTTTATTGCATCTCTCTCCCATCCCACACTCAGGTAGCCACTGAGTCCTAGTATATATGCTTCGCAAAGTTTCTGGTTTACTTCTCCTTCCCGTGTCATACTATGGTTACTCTAATTTACCATCATGACTTTACTTCTCATTTTTAATAGTAGACTACCTAGTTTCTGAGTGTCACCATTTTATTTAATGGTGGCTATACAATAGAGTAATTTTCACCATGTATTCCATTTGTTAAAAATCTATATTAGCTTCTTTTGCATATTTGAATAAATTTGAAAGTTTCAACCCCACATTAAGGGTCCGTATGAACTGGTCCCAGTTTACTTTCTCGATCTTGGAACATTCTTGATGCATCCTAAGAGGAATTGTTTCTTGCCTCTTAGAGCACTCCTAGCCACCTTGGCCCCTCACATGCTCCGATTCACTCCTAGTCTTTTTTCTCTCTGTTTCTGCTAAATCCTACACATCGTTAATACTCAGCTCAAAATTTTCCCTCTCCATGAAGTTTGTCTGAATTAACATGAGCCCGCGGTGGTTTTTCTCATGTTCTGAATTGCCTCTGAATGACACATACAGGCTGAAACTCTCTATACATTTTATAGGTTGCTTCCAAATTGTTTTCTAATTTATCATGAATATATGAATTTCCTCTCAAACAAGATTTAACATTCCAGAAGAGGAAGAACTGTGAATTGTACCATTTTAAATGTGTGAATTCTACCATTGAATTTAAAAATAACTATTCCTAGTTTCTGGGATGTTTCCCCAATTCAGTTATTTCTAATCCCTGTGTGAGTATCAGAGGAACTAGGTCTTTAATGGCATAATCAGATCCCATGTCAAATAAATGACATTAAGAGTGTCATTAATATAATTCCGTATTCCCAGAGATGTTCTGGAAGGTTTATATGTATTCTCATTTATTATAAATACATTGAAGCATGCTTAAATGAAAAAGACTGAATAAAAATGAATTTAAATGACAAAAACGGTGTTCCATAAATGTAAGAATTAATGTCTACATTCTCATGTAACTCCAGGCAAAAATACAGAACAAGTGGGGTTCCACTCATGAACCCACACTCCGAACTTGTTTTGCATTATTCTGCCCACTAAAATTATAAACCTATGGAATAGACCTGAATGTTAATTTTTATTATAATGTTAACATTATGATAATATAGCTAATAAATTATAGTCATCTAAGACACATTTCAAAAATATACAGGCAGGCATCTCTACTTCCACTTTCCCCTGCCCACCCCCCCCCCACCCCCACCATTCCTCTTAGGATGCATCCAGTATTTTGTGGTTTCCAAATTAGGCATCAATAAATGCAAAGATTTTTACTTCTGCAATATCATCTGTGTAATGTAAAATTCATTGACATTTATATTTGTGCTTTTATGAAACTACTAATCCCAAATGAAATGTTCTCGTGAATATGCAAGGAAAATGCTTTTGTTAGTATTTGGTCCTGTTTCTACATTTGATTTGTATTTGGTTTTTAAATGATTAATCAGAATAGGAGAGCACAGCTTTAGGTTAAAATGTTTTAGCAACACAAGACAGTCCCACACTATACAGAGCCATCCCGATATTTTACCAAAGCCTTTGAAATAATTTGTAATTTTTTCTATCCATTTAAAATATGTATATTTTAGAGAACTATACACTTAGCAAAGCATTTTTATTGCTCATAAAACTACCAATAAACAAACATCAAACATAAGATGTTGTGTTTTATATGTAGGAGGGAAAAAACAGGCTTGGATAATCCTGTCTACATTTTTGAGAAGTTGAAAAAAAAAAATGAGTTCTAGCAGGTAAGAAGAAAACACAGTTTTAAACCTAAACACCTGCAAAGAGAATGTCACCAGCTATGAGGTTCTCATGTTTTTGGATAAGGAGCTGGTCTTAATTAATAGGATATGAGGCAATGATGATGTTACTAATTTCGGAGTTCCTAATGAAACAGTAACACTACCCTTTAACTTAAGCCTACATTCTGATCATCATTAGCAGTAATGATGTCATGAGTAATGGCACTGTCTACCGTAATTACATGAGGGCTAGCGAGAAAAGTAAGAGCATGAAGGTAGCTCTAATTCTCTCAGAAGCTTGTGCCGTGGAGACCTACCTGTACTGCTCGGACTTCACACACAGATATTCTCATTTACAGGCCTGGCGTGACTGGCTTCACCAAAATAGTTCTCTATTATTTGTTGGCAGCTGATAAACCCATCAAAAGGTAACCAATAAGTAAGAACTTATTTGAAGAGTGACATTATCTTACTACTGTCAGGGAGTATGAGCAAAACAGCCATCGGTTTATCGTATTTATAAAGAGAAGAAGTGATTGGAAGTCGAACTTTTTCTTTTTTTAAGGTCAGAATCCTTAATCCAAAGCTGCAGAAGATTTGATGTCTTGTAAATGGTCAGTTTTATCTGAGATCTGGTGTTAGGGGCTTTGCCAAGTCAACGGTCTCCAAGTCAGTGGCAGAAAAAAAAAAAAACGGGGAAATTAGAACTTTCTCCAGCTTACGATAGAATGATATGTAAGAATTCACGGATGCCACAGAGTTAGGTGTCTGAGCATGATTTGCATCCAGTTATGGACGTCACTGGTTGTAATGCATGCATATTTATGCACACAGTGTGCAAACGGGGCTGATGTTTATAAACATGAAAAATATTAGAAAATTCATTAATTAGGGTCATTTGTACAATTCCGTTGTCAACTTTAATCACTTCTTTCAATTGATGTCTCCTTTAGAAAGTCAATCCGCCATAGTTATTTATTTATTCAGCAAGAATATTGTGTAGGCCTATCTTCTGCTTGACCTATAATGTTATTTCTAATAACATTCATTCATTTCATTCTAATAAGCAGGAAGTTAGGTTTAACACATTAACATACGCTGTTAAATTAATAAATACGTATTAACTGTTGGATTTCATTCCCTGTCAGTGGAAATAATGTGTTTGTATTGTGTAAGTATGTGTCTGTTGACTATTTTTTATCTTTTAGTGAGGGCCTAAACAAAATTAGTATTTTCGCAAATTTAAACATCTGTAAAGGCTTAGGTCGTTCCATGAGGCAAACAATAAGTTTCTTTCTGAATCAAACTACGTAAGATAACCTAATTAACTTATCATTAGCTATTCCAGTAATAAACATTATCTCAGCACACACAGTTACACAGCGGTTCTAAGCACCCTCATTCAGTACACACTCGCGCTCCCAGTCCCCCAATTTTTCCATCTTTCCATCTTTTCTGTGCAACTTTCTATCTGGCTGATTTTTTTTTTTTTTTTTTTTTTTTTTTTTTGAGACAGGATCTTGCTCTGTTGCCCAGGCTGGAGGGCAGTGGTGCAGTCATAGCTCACTGCAGTCTTGAACTCCTAGGCTCAAGCAATCCTCCCTTACCAGCCTCCTGGGTAGCTGGGACTACAGGCATGTCACCACAACATCCAGCTAATTTTTAAATTTTTTATAGAGACAAGGTCTCACTGTGTTGCCAGAGTGGTCTCAAACTCCTGGCCTCAGGTGATCCTCCTGCCTTAGCCTCCCAAAGTGCTGGGATTACAGTTGTGAGCCACTGTACCCAGCCTGATTGTATTCTCTATATAAACCTTTCCCCTCCACCATGCCCGCCTCAAAGTTTATTTTAATTGTGTCTCCATTGGCAAAAGTCTGTTATATACCCAAGCTTCCTTTGACTGTTTAAAGGTAGTTGATTTTCTTCATAGAACAGACTGACTTCCTGACATTCCCCCTGCTAATTGCTTTCTCTACTGTTATTCCTACTGTGTCTAAAATGTAAGCACTCTGTTTAAAGAGCATAGCCTTTAATAGGCTTTCCTCCCCACTCCACTTACTGTCAAGTTCTGAATCAAGGGAAAGTGGGTATCCATGGAAGAGAGCAGGCCCTGGGCTTCGGGACAGTGGGTGAGTGATTTGTTGGGAAGTGAATGAGTAAATAGTCTTATTCCCCCAATCTAAAAGCTAGAGAATTTGTTCAAGATTTTTTTTTCGTTTCTATAAAACTGACCTTAAGTAAGTCAATTAATCCTTCTAGACTTCCATTCTGTTGCCTATGAAATGAAAGTGTTGAATAAGCTCATCATGATGATCCCTTTTAAAATTAAACTTTGTGATTCTGAGATACCATACAAAGGATTTTTAAAAGAACTGAAAAGTCTTACTGAAGTTAAGAACAATGTTCTCAAAGACATCCTGGTATTTTGTAATTAAAATTTAGCGTTTGCTCTTCATCCTGAAAGGTGACAGCACCAGCTTTCCCCAGATGCATCTCAAAGCCAGGTGGGAAAATAATAAGTGTGAACCATCTGAAGCCATGGTACACTCTAAATGCACACACATGAGAAATGAGGATTCTCACAAAAAACGGAGGCATGCATTGACCACTGGGGTGTATTTGATGAGAGTGGAAGACCAGGGCTCCCTTCTCTTCGTTGCTACAGCAGTGGGCTTAGGTGTTCCGAAGGAATGCTGTCTCTCAGTAGACACCAGCTTACCAGGCCCTCGGCCAGCCTCTGCCCAGATGCTCCAGCTGTTCCTCCTCCACATAGCTGGGCTCTGATTAATTCCAGGAGGCCTTGCCTGGTAGAAAGAATCTGCAGCATCACAGACCTCTTACAGGATGAGGGCTCAATTTAAACCCCAAGATATGTCTCCACACTGCGGGAGACCTTCTTCCTGGAAGTCATCTTTCAGAAACTGAAATTCTATTACCCACCTTGTGCAGCCTTTGTTGTCCATCCTAGCCCTGAAAAAGAACTCCTGCTTTTCACCCTGACATTCCCTTCCTGAAAAGGCTCGATTCCTCCATAGGGATTCACCCTAGCCCAATTGTTCCTTCTTCCCTTCAGCCTGCCAGCTCCAAAGCTGGCTATTTTTCACTAGTTCTGCCCCCAGATCTGCAGCCTAGCAGTTCAAACAAATTATTCAGCACATAAATTCAGCATTTCAAACAAATTATTTTGGCACAAATGAAGGGGTTAGTGGAATGGGTCTTATTGGCATCTTCCAATATTCAGCCCATTTTTTATCCATACCTCATTGATTTCAGCTTTGACGCAGATATAAAGACATACTAAAGAGCATGAAATGTGTTATTAGTCAAAAGAAGAGCTCCTCCATCATTCTTGGCTAAGTGTATCCAGGAATACATTTACAAGTGACTATCCAATTAGTCTCTTCTCAACTAATTTCATACTAACTAAAAGGTAGAACATTGTTCCATTTTTAAACTTGGCATTCTTATGATACTGACTTTAAGTTAAAATTTAGAAGAACCTTGGTGTTCTTACAGCTTTGCAAGAACAAGATTCATAGCGTTGATCAAAGATTTTGATACAAAAAGCTTATCATCTACATCTAAATCTGAAAGTTAGAGATCACTGGAAATACTGAGCTTTATCTTCTTCAATTTCAAGTGTTTGAGGAAACACTGTTGGGCAAGGACAGTTTTTATGCTGGCCAGTGATAGTGACACACTTGTGTAAACAATGCATTTATTAACTGTATTAATGTTGGCATCTTCTAATGCCTTCAGCATTATCTGATCAATAAATTTATTCATTCTTTCTTCCCCTTCTTTTCTTTTCTTATTTTAAACTTATATGGTTATGCTTCCATCAGAAATGGGCTTAAAAGACTTGCTCTGCCCTTATTCACTCATTAAATATCAAAATCCTCACCAAAACTGCCATCGCATTAGAGCAATATCAGAGCCATATGACTCACCAACAATTCTATTTCTCTATTTCTCTAACAACTGCAGTCAATGACGTAGGCACCATTAGAAATTCTTTCTTCCTCTGCTGTAGGCTGATAAGATCAAGTCAAGCAGCTTTATTCACTTCATGCAATCCAACTTCATTGAAAAGAGAAAATGGAAAAGGATCAGTTCATACTAAAAATACTTTAGTGGTACTTCATTGCTTGTTTTTAAATATAATCTTTGAAAAAAACAGTAGTAGGTGAGTCAACACATCTGCAGCTACACACACACACACACACACACACCTTTGTGATATTTCTGTCAACAGATAATAAAATAGTTACCCAATTCCAGTGTTTTATTCTAGGTGTTTTTACTGTTTTGTTCTACATTTTTACTCGTCTCTTCTATATTTATATCTAAAGCCTGTTCCTGGTTTATATTTTCCATTGATTAAATTTCCTCTGATTATTAACATAAAGGAAAGGAAAGTGAAGGTGGTCTAAGACCCATCAACTTTGCTTATTCACATTTTCATGATCAGTAAAATATTCTCTGGTCCCACTGAAATGTATACTGCTATATGTTCTAATCAGCAAACTTGAACTCCCCCCAACTCATTAAGCTTCCTGGCATTCATCTTTCTGAATTAAGATGTTTGAAGGTTTTCATATAACCCATTACTCTATCAGACCAGACCCCTTTCTACATTTCTGTTGGGAAAATATTCTTTGTGGTAAATACCTCCTTTAATATTTTTCATCTGTCATGTGTGTGTGATTCCAAGGGCCCAAACTTTCTGCTTGTAATAATATTTCAAAATTTTTACCATTAAATGCATTTCATTCACTATTTTTCAAAGTAAGTGGTGTTTTGAAGATATTGCAATTACATCTTTTATTTCGTTTTTTACTGATTCTAAAAAAGAACATTCTGCTGAAATGATGAAGCAGTTGCTAAATTATAAGGTAGTCTTTAATGTATTATTTAACTTTTATTATTTAACAATTTGTAAAACAAAAGCAACAATTTTACATTACCATATTATTCATTGTAATAGAGATTTTTGTTTTCTACATTCTAAAATATTTATAGTGAATATTTTCAAAGATTTAATCTAAATACCAATAATTTGGGCTAATGTTTTTTTTCCAGAGAAAAGAAGTAAAAACCATGTGATTTTTTATGTCACTTTTAATACTGTCTCTCTTCTTCTTTTAACAGTTTTTGAATATTTTGAACTGAAAGTACTAGATTAATTAGAAGACTAGTTCTAGGTCCACATGTTATCTCAGAAGTTAAAAGTAAAAAATCTTGAGGTATATATTGTCTTTTTATCCTTAAGACTTAGGTAACAGAATTTAATTTTGTTTTTATTTGCTTATAAATTTAAAAATTAAAGAGTATTTAAGAACTACAAGAACTAGAGAAACGTAGAAAGAAAAATACTTGATACGGTATTTACAAAAAAGTGAAAGAAAACCAACAACAATTTTTAAACTAATTTTACCCAATTCTTTATGTGGGTTTTTTCTTTTATTTGTTTTGTTGTTTTGTTGTTTTGTTTTTTGTTTTGTTTTGTTTTTTGTTTTTTGGGGTTTTTTTTGAGACAGAGTCTCTCTCTGTCACCAGGCTGGAGTGCAGTGGCGCGATCTCAGCTCACTGAAACCTCTGCCTCCCGGGTTCAAGTGATTCTCCTGCCTCAGCCTCCTGAGTAGCTGGGACTACAGGCATGCACCACCACACCCAGCTAGTTTTTGTATTTTTAGAAGAGATGGGGTTTCACCATGTTGGCCAGGATGGTCTCAATCTCTTGACCTTGTGATCCTCCCGCCTCAGCCTCCCAGTGTGGTGGGATTACAGGCTATGTTTTTTGTATAGGATCCTAACAGTATTTTTATCAACTACCCTGGATATTTTATTCTTGAAGTAAACCTAATTTTTTCCCACTGACCTTTTTTCTTGATTTTTAAAAATTTTAGGACAAATTTTTTAACCTTTCATTTTATATTGGTTGTAGTATTTATTGCTGTAATTAATTTAGCAGAGAGATGTTCTCACACACTCATAAATTCATGAAAATAACAACTTCTATGCTGAAATTTTTCACACTTCATCACAGCCCAAATATGAGTTTATCTTCAAAATTTGAGGAAGATCTTAAATCTTCATTGATTTATGAGAACATTTTAAAGGCATCCTGATTGCCAATGCCAAAAATATTTTGGCTTCTTGATTAATTTAGATTCAAAAATAGCTTAACTTACTCTTCAAATTTAGTGGAAAAACTTTCCATTAAGAGTTTTAATTAAGTAAAAATATGTCATCTTTAATCACTTTACCTGATTATCATCATTCAAAAGTTCACAAAAACTTAAAGGAAAGTAAATAAATTTTGGCTCAAGATGTATTAAAATAATATTAGTTGAAAATCAGTATATTCTTTCACATATCATATATAAATATGGTCCAATACCAAACATTCAGCAGTTCCAATACGTATATTTGTTGTTTGTTTCCCATTTAAGATATACCTATATATAGCTCCAGTTCACAACAGACATACCTAGAGATTTAGAATTTCAGTCTTGACTTGAAACTGACCCTCTTGCAATATACTCTTGAAGTCTCCAAGCCCCTTGAGTCCTCTTTTTCCTTCAGTGCAATTCAATAAATTCAATTCCACAAGCATTAATTGGGCCTCTGCTCTGTGTAAAGCACTCAGTGTGAAGTGCAACAAAGAATAGGCTTCCGTCTTTCTCCTCCGTGATTTCACCACAGGAGAGACCTGCTCCCTTCCTTTCCCCCGGAGCACAAGAGCTGCCAGTAGTATCGTTGAGAACAGAATTATAACATCTGGATATTGCTAGTTTCTTTATTCTCTCTCAAGTGGCAAATCAGTTCAATGAGAGGCATCTATTTCTGCCTGAGTTTTTGTGCACCTGCCCACATGTGCACACACTCTCATTTCCGTCATTTTCTCCAAGGCAGGTAGACTTCCGTATTTTTAACTTTCTTTCAGATTGGAGCCCAATTTTTAGTACAGAGAGGAAACCAATGATGCTGACTTGCAGCAAACCTTCTCAATGATCAAGGGACAGGAAGAATTTGACACTAAGCTTCCTCCCAAAAATCATAGCCCTTCTATAACTAAGAAACTTCTAATGGTGTGAGGTGCCCCAAGTATATTCTACCTCTGTACCAAAAAAAATATATGAGCCTGTCTGTCATGATGAATCAAAATTACTGGATGGAATCACATGGCCAAAGTCACCTGGTGATGTCACTCATGGAGTGACCATATCCACTACTCACGCCACCCTAGTAAGGATCTTGAAATAAATTTTACAATTCCTCTGCCACAAGGGAAAAACCCAACCAAAACCAAGCCTCTAGCCTGTCCTATGGGGCTACCCAGAATGGGATCCACCTTTGAGGCTAAATTCAATATCTGATCTCCCAAACGAAAGGAAAAGGCATCAGTGTTGGCCAAAACAGTTGTTTAGATGAGCCTCTGATCCTGCCTACAAGAATTATTTTAGAGATTTCCAATGGAAATTACTCAATATGTCGTGAGAGTCTATGAGCTTTATGATCTTTCTTCCATGGCATGTGCTCTATAATATTTGCAGATATTTACTGAAAATACTCACAGCTGAAAGCCCCTAACACACCCCTCACATCAGCACACACATTTCCACTTTCTTTCCAGCTGCCCGCTAAATTTAAAATCACAGAATTTCACCACAATGTTTTCCCACTTTTGGATCTTGTTTAGTGTAAAGTTATGGATTAAAATATAAAATACCAGCAAAAATACCGGGTATGTCAGAGTCTTCAAATTATTATTATAAAGTAAAGTTTTATGTTTTTATCAAGTTTTCACATCCTTCATTCCCCCCCACCCAAAAAAACTGCAAAAGGATTATTTAGCAAGTTCTTTTTCCCCTCTTCTGTAATGGGAATTTTCACTCATGTGACTTAGATAATATGTAACAAAGAAGCACATTACAGGACTGGATAGTGTTAATCGAATTAGAGCCATATGATACCAGACAGAAACGTATGGCTTTGCATAAAAATCTGGGAGTCCATATGTTCTCAATAAAGAGGTAAATGCGTGTGCATGTGAGCATACACACACACACACACACACACACTTATATACAATTTGGAGATAGGTATATTTGTATATCTTAAAAGAGCCAAAAAAAAAAAAACCCTATTAAAAGAGCAGAAAATTTGTTTAAGTTCCTTGTATATTCTGGATATTAGACCTTTATCAGATGGGTAGATTGCAAAAATGTTCTCCCATTCCGTAGGTTGCTTGTTCACTCTGATGATAGTTTCTTTTGCTGTGCAGAAGCTCTTCAGTTTAATTAGATCCCATTTGTCAATTTTGGCTTTTGTTGTAATTGCTTTTGGTGTTTTAGTCAGGAAGTCTTTGCCCCAAAGGATTGTAGATCATTCTACTATAAAGACACATGCACGCGTATGTTTATTGCAGCACTGTTTGAGATAGCAAAGACTTGGAACCAACCCAAATGCCCATCAATGATAGACTGGATAAAGAAAATGTGGCACATATACACCATGGAATACTATGCAGCCATGAAAAAGAATGAATTCATGTCCTTTGCAGGGACATGGATGAAGCTGGAAGCCATCATGCTCAGCAAACTAACACAGGAACAGAAAATCAAACACCACATATTCTCACTCATAAGTAGAAGTTGAACAATGAGAGCACAGGGAGGGGAACATTACATACCAGGGCCTGTCAGGGGGTGGGGGGCAAGGTGAGGGAGAGCATTAAGATAAATACCTAATGGGTGTTATCCAGACACACATACATTTAGATATTCAAAGCATGTGCTCTTGGAGAACAGGAAGTTTTTTTCACATGATACTGAGTGATGAGGTGAAGATTAACTGAAAGTAGCATTCGTTGTAGAATATTTAAGTACGTTGTGTTTTACAATCGGTATTGATTTCAGCATCATCTGTATGAATATAACTTTTCAATTTTAAGTTTGGGGAAAAATGCTTCTATTCTTTCACAGTTTGATTGCTTTATCCATGAGTGGTTTCCTACTGAGGAAAACAGAAAGCCTTAATTTACTCAGCAAATAGTCACTGGATGCCCCACCTAGTACGAGGGATCCTATTCACCACACTCTCTTAAGGAAGCATCTATATTGCTTTAAGATCTACTTAATTTCTGATTTAAAAAAAAAACTCAACTTCTGAATTAGTTTTTTATATGTGTATATATATTTGCTATGATTGTTCAACTCTTCCACCAATTTGGAGAAAAAAACAACCTTGGAGGAAAGAACATTTACCTTCTCACTCTACAGTTGAACAGTGTCTAGAATTATATTATGCATACAGAAAGTGCTCTGTAAGAGTCTGCATTTCTAAGAAACCAGTTCAACAGCTGATGCCTTTGACTGTTCCTGTCCCCTCCTTTTCTTGGCTAGAGATAGGAGTGACTGGTAACAATTCCAGCTTCATTAGGCGATACTCACCTCTGGCCCAGCCTGTCATCTCTCCAACGGAACACATCATCCCTAATCAACTCAAACCAATTACTGTGTGACTTTGGGTAATTAACCTCCCTGTGTCTCAGTCTCAACTTCTGTAAAGTGCAGGACTTGCAAAATATTGCTGCTAAGGTCCTTCCATACCTAAAACACCTTTGGTCTAAAAATACATCACCTTGGGAAGCAAGCTTCCTTCCTTGCAAGTCAAGATTTGAATGCAACCTGGGGCCCTGAGGAGGGCCCCTCCTGGTTCTACCCCTACTGTGCTGGCTACACCTTCTCATCTGACTGATGCATCCTCATTCTGGGCCTGATCACTAAGTGTGTGACCCAGGGCTCAATCCTCCTGCCTCTTCTTTTTCATTCTGCACTCGAGTCTTGGATGAGTTCAATTCCATGGCTTTAGATGTTGTCTCTATAAAACAATGATTTCCATGTATATCTCTAGCCCCACCCTCTCCCTTGAACTCCAGATGTGTATCTAACTGTCCATTCAACATCTCCTCTTGGATGTTCTTTGGGCATCTAAAACTTAAGTTGAAAACTGAGCTCTTGATATCCACTTCCATATTTACTGCAAAAACTTGATACTCTTCAGTATCAAGATCTCTTCTGAAGCCTGCAGCCCCAGAGCATCCCCACGATCTGACTGTTTCACATCCTCCACCGCCACCACCTTTGGATGCAAGCCACTATCAGTCCTCACATGATCTACGGAGGATCTAACACCCCCCTGACTCTCTCGTGCTTCTTCTCTTTCTTCCCCAGAGCCTATGACCCACCTAGCAGCCTTTTAGAACCAAGCAGATCATGTAACTTACAAGATTAAAATATTCTAAGGATAAACACTTGAGGTGGTAGATGCCCCAATCACTCTGATTTGATCATTATCCACTGTATGCCTGTATCAAAACATCACATGTACCCGATAATTATATAAAACTAGTATATGCCCATACTAATTAAAAATTTAAAAATTCAAAAAACGATTCCAAGGATTTCTGATCACAATTAAAATCTAGGTGTTTATGTATGGCCTATAAGGCCTAAAGGGATGTGACCCCTGGAAAACTCTCAAGTCTCTGTCACTCATTCACTGACCTCTTTGTCACTGTTCACAACACTCTGTCCTCGCTGCCAGCCATGTCCCTCCCTCAAATGCTCCATGATTCTCTCTCACTGCATCCAGGTCCCTGCTGGAGAACCGTCTCTTTGTTCCAAGCTATATAAAATAGTGATATGGTTTGGCTTTGTGTCCCCACCCAAATCTCATCTTATAGCTCCCATAATTCCCATGATGTGGGAGGGACCACGTGGGAGATGATTGAATCATGGAGGGGGTGGGTCTTTTCCCATGCTGTTCTCATGATAGCGAATGGGTCTCACGAACTCTGATAGTTTTGAAAATGGGAGTTTCCCTGCACAAGCTCTCTTTGCCTGCTGCCATCCATGTAAGATGTGACTTGCTCCTCCCTTACCTTCTGCCTTGATTGTGAGGCCTCCCCAGCCACATGGAACTGTAAGTCAAATAAGTCAAAAAAGTCAAAAAGGTTTCTTTTGTAAATTGCCCGGTCTCAGATATGTCTTTATCAACAGTGTGAAAACGGACTAATACAGATAGTACATGCTCCTGTGTTTTCCCTATTCTTCTGTCTTGCCTTATTTTTTACAGCACATATTGTTCCTGGCATAATTATATATATTTAAGTATGTATTTCTTATCTCCTTCACTTACTGGTGGTAAGCCTTCATAAGAGCAGATGTGCTTTGTTTACAACATAGATACCAAGTATCTACAACAGTGCCAGACACATAGTAGGTATCTAACAAATATGTATTAGATCATGACTCATAGCCTTGATTCATGAGTTCCAGCTGCTGGGCAAATCTAACCTGTGCTGCTGAGGTGATCCCATGGAAGAGCTCAGTTCTGAAGGATTTCCTAACATCACACATGATAAGGATAGTAACAAAACGTGCCCACTATGTTGCAGATAATGAGCTGAGCTTTTTTTTTTTTTTTTCTGGCTTTTTTGAAGATGTTTTCTTTTACATGAACTACTATGAAAGAAAAAAATTAGATAGCAAATAGAAATGTTTAATATGTTTTGATGTTTACATATGATACACTATTTATTTATTTATTCATTCATTCTGTCACCCAGGCTGGAGTGCAGTGGCACAACCACGGCTCACCTTAAAAGCCTGGTATGCTTCCTAATTCTCTTGATTAGTTAGCATTGACAAGTCAACTTGAAATGGCTAGAGAGAGTCTACCAGGTCATCATCAGTCTATTCTTCCTCCTCATGTCTGGATTTCTTTGAGATATCATCATTATCTTCACAGCCTTTCCTCTTCTTCATAATTACATTAAGTGCAAGCTCAGCAGAATGACATTGCTCCAACTTCGGTTTCAGAACAGCAGCTTCTTCAGATCTGGGTGGTACATACTTTTTTACTCAATTTCTCATGCTTTTCATTATATCTCGTAACAGTGACAAGCAAGTTCTGTTCTCTCTCAACATCAGACTGTCCAATAAATAACTTTCCGTAGTAATTCCAGTCCTGAAGGCACTGGATAAAATGGCAGGCAGGGCAATTTGGGAAGGTGTGTATAAACAGTAAGCAGCCATCAATGTGATTCTATTAAGAAGTTCATCATCTGTTTTCCTCAAAATGTCTGGATTCTCCAGCATTGCATAGTAAGTCTTTAAATCAGTGAGGAAGCACTCCAGTGGTCTATAGGGGTTGTGGACAGTCAGATGGAAATTTACGTTGCTGTATAAAAGGTAGTTCGTATTCCAAACTCTGTTCAAGTGTCTCCTCCTGTACGAGAGAACTCTCCCGAAGGTTTCCAACAAACTGGGGACTAGATACATTCAGTTTATCTACTTTGTAGGCCAAAAATGCACATGTGAGCATTATTATCCAGGAGTGATAGTTATTACTTATTTACCTTACTTAATCCTCAAGCGAAACTACCTCGGATTCTCCTTTTGAGATGAGAAACCAGAAGGATGGGCTTCACAGTTAAGAAGTAAGTGACGAATCACAGACTTTGTGCTCCTAAGTTTCTCGCTTTAACACAAAGCACAAACTCAAATGCCAATAGGGCCAAGCCATATTGAAAATGAGGGCTGCAGATTGGGAATCATCCAGTGGCCTTTCTTGCTTTTTCTTGTTTCTTGTTTTTGTTTTTGTTTAGAGATGGGTCTTGCTATGTTTCCCGGGCTGGACTGGAACTCCTGAGCCCAAGCGATCCTCTCGCTTCTGCCTCCCGAGTAGCTGGGACTACAGGCATGGGCCACCACTGTACTAGGCTTCTTCTTGTTTTCTTTTGTCAACTCACCTTTTTATTTTTTATTTTTTGAGATGGAGTCTCACTATGTCGCCCAGGCTGGAGTGCCCTGGCACAATCTTGGCTCACAGCAACCTGCGCCTCGTGAGTTCAAGCGATTCTCCTGCCTCAGCCTCCCCAGTAGCTGTGATTACAGGCACCCACCACCACACCCAGCACATGCCACCGCACTCTATTTTTAGTAAAGTTGGGGTTTCACCATGTTGGCCAGGCTGGTCTCGAACTCCTGACCTCAGGTTATTCGCCTGTCTCTGAGCCCAGCCTGTCAACTCACTTTTAATAGAAATCAGAATGCAGATAGGTATTTCTCTGTCATTAAAGAAAAAATGGTAGTCACTAATTCATGATGATGCTTCAAAGCAGGAGTGCAACAGGGAGCCAGGAGGACCGTGGCAAGTTGGAGTGTATGGGCAAATCCTGAAGGGGAAGATCCCATGTGTCCCTAGCCAGTCACTGCCATGAAGTAAGACTGGCCCAGAGCAGCCAAATCTTCCACTACCTCAAAAGAAACTGGAAATTCAGATTTTTCTATGAAATCTCCCAAGATTTTCAATGTTAGGTAAACACAGACAAGCACTAGAGACCATACAAGGCTTGTCTGCAGGCCAGGACACAGAGGCATGTCAGCCCACAGACACCGTGGTTGTAAATCCTGGCCAGAGTCCTGTGCTGGGTATTACAGTGAAGGGATGAGACGTGGAGAAGGGAAGAGGGAGAGAAGGTGACCTGAGAGACAGCTCGGAGATACATCCTAAGGAAGGAAGGAAAGACAAACACAAGACAGCGCCATTGCCCTATGAGATCATCACCCCACAAGCTCTCAGAGGAGGGAGAATTACTCCCATCTGGGGCAGCCAACGCAGGAATCATAGAGCAAGCGGGATCTGAGCAGACCCCGAACATTCGAGGCCAACTGCTTGAATGAGTAGAAAGGTACCTCCGCGTTTCAAGATTCAGACGAAACAATGAACGTTTAATGTTCTGAAATGCATAAGACACTCCATGCATTTAAAGAAGTATTTCCTATTTACAAACTAGAACCGGCATCATATATGAAGTTTATATTGTCTATTTCTTGCACATAAGGGTTTGTTACCATCTTATTAAGACAACGTGTATTTTTGACTCGAGTGCTAAAGCTATACAAGTTCTATTTTTAAATCAAATGGTCGTATGTTTATATTTTATACCTGGGAGTGCAAGTCACTGTATTTGTCTTATTCCATCCTTTCTTCCTTTGCATTTATTTATAGTTTCTTTGCTGAAAAAAAAATCAGTTGATTCTTAGGTTGTTAGTTCCATAAAAGCAGTTTTGAAAATTCAATGTGCCCATATATTTTAAAGTGACTTTCAATAATTAGGGACTGATTAGAAATGTCTAGTAGTGACAGTTTCTCTTTGGCTTTCGGTAACCTTTCTGTCCTCAGTCTGGCAGCTGAAGGTTTTTGGTTTGTGGCTTTTAAAGTGGTGTTAAGGGACATATTTCTGCCTGAGAACAGAGCTGTCCACCCACACATAGCCCAACTACACTGTGCTCATGCAATCATAAATTAAACAATAATTTAATTTTAAAATATTTAAAGATAATATTTACATTCCATATTGGGTGATACATTTTAAAGACAGCAATTTTCTGATGAATGTTTTTAATTTTAAGCACTCTAATATAAGGAATAATAAAAATGACATTTTAGACTATTCTGAATTTAGAAGCATAAATAGAGAAATTCGGGGCCTAGTTTTCAAGAATAGATGCTAAGAGAATAAACAAAATTAAACCTGTCATTATGTAAAATTTTTATTCGCCCTGTGCATGATATTTTAATATGCATTTTATGGAGTTTGTAGGAAGTTTAATTTTTCGTTTGGAGTAAAAGATAGTGTTACACGGTATAGGTGATAAATCAGGTTATCATAGTTATGTGTGTGACCCTTAAAAGGTGAACACACTAAATATACCTCAAAGACAGAGCCATTAACCTTAAAGTGGATTGCAGATTTGGCCTGTGGGAAAAAGAAGTGCAAGCGAGGTGTAGAGGTTTTTATTAGTACTCCCACTATTTGGTTATAGGTATTAGAATATTTGAACATAACATTTATAGGCTAGCTCCATAGAGTCTCCTGGAAATCTTTATTTCACTGGTTTTTCAACTTGACTTCTGCCTTTCCTTTCTGAATTCATTTCTTACTGTCATACTACTGGCACCTAGAAGAATTTCTCTCGACTATTTTAACAAGCCTTCAGCTGACTGTTTTGCCTACACACCTTATCAATTCCCACTTGTGTATCTTCACTCCTGTCTTTAAGACAATAAACAATGGAGAGAGTCAGATAGGAGTTTAAATTCCAGTTCTGCTATCATTTAGCCCTGTGTCTTTGTGCAAATTATTTAATCTCTGTGATTTCGAATATCTTTATTCATAAAATAAACACCTTCTGTGGTATTGTGGGGACTAAATCAGGTGGGTCTATTCCCCACATCTTGACCACAGAATGTTTGTTGCCACAGACAAAGCCCCATACTGAAATGGCTGATTAGAGACACAGTCCCTACTCAGCTCATCTAGCTCACCTTGGGCAAATCATCAGAATTCCCTAAGTCCGGCCGCCTCACCCAACAACTCAGGGGGCAGACGTGGTGACTCAGCCCGGCTGCTGTTCTTCCAGATCCACATGCTCATTGCCTCAGCACAGCTGGGGAGAATTTCCCCACCCACATCATACTGTATTTGTTCATGTATCATCTAGTAATGATTTTTTAGATTTTAAAAAGCAATATGATGCAATGAACAAGAGCTGCCTTCCAATCCTTTTATGTCTACACGCTAGGTGTTCGAGGGCAAAGGAAACAGCAGGTACTTGATAAAAGCTGATTACATAAATACTCTCCCCAATACAGTGTATAGCATTAACCTACGCAATACTAAATCACTACAAGCAGCACATCTTCCAGACTTAATTTTCTTTGAGTCTATGACTGAATGTTGATATTCTTTGTATGACAAAACAATCTTTTATGTCAATATATCCACTGAAATTTTGTAGAATTTTTTACATTTATTTTCAGGTTATATATTAGTTTTTTAAACAAATGTATACAAAAGAATATCAAAAATCTCATTGTTATACTATTCATGTTACTCTTGCTACTTTTATAAAGAAAATAAAACGTATGCAAATGTAGACACATGTGTAACATAAAGTAATGACACCTTCTTGTCCTCAGTTATTCTATTCTAAGTTGGTCATTTTATCAGTTTTATGTTTTAGTCCAGAATATATCCATGCATATATATAGTAGCCTATGTGCACACACATTCTTTTCTTATTTATACCTTATAACATGCTAAATAAGTGCTCTATACCTCACTTTTTACTCTTTATAAAATATATATACAGGCCGGGTGCAGTGGCTCATGCCTGTAATCCCAGCACTTTGAGAGGCTGAGGAGGACAGATCACGAGGTCAGGAGTTCAAGACCAGCCTGGCCAATATGGTGAAACCCCGCCTCTACTAAAAATACACCTGTAGTCCCAGCTACTTGGGAGGCTGAGGCAGGAGAATCACTTGAACCTGGGAGGTGGAGGTTGCAATGAGCCAAGATTGTGCCACTGCACTCCAGCCTGAGCGATAGAGCAAGACTCCATCTCAAAAAAAAAAAAAGTGTATACATATATATATATATAATGTACATATGTATTTGTATATATATATATATATATAAATACACGTGTGTGTGTGTATGTGTGTGTGTGTGTGTGTGTGTGTATTTTAGAGAGGAGTCTCACTATGTTGTCCAGGCTAGTCTGGAACTTCTAGGCTCAGGTAATCCACCTGCCTCAGCCCCCCAAAGTGCTGAGATTCCAAGTGTGAGCCACTGTGCCTGGCCTCACTTTTTACCCTTAATACTACTCCTTAGAAACATTTCCTTATAAGCTATGCAAAACCACACGACTTTTAAAAAGTGACTCCATAATATCCCATGATATGGCTATCTCATCATTTCCATTCTAGCTCCCTTTTCATAGTTTCATTAGCTTTTTCCAGTTGTTTGCTATTATCAATGTTGCTGCAATGTGCATCCTTTAACTTTACATCTTGGCAAACTTATTTGAGTACATCCTAACTCTGTGATTAGGATCAAAAGGTATGTAAATTTATTTGTAGCTTATTTTATTTAAAAACGTTATAATCATTTTTCATGTTTAACCCTCTCAAAATCACTGCCCATTTTACAGATGAGAAAAAGCGGGTAATTTGGTCAGAACACATGATCGGTTAATGTGTAGAGACAAAATTAGCGCTGAAACCTGCCTGCATTCTTCATTTCTTTTCTATCACTTCAAGCTGCATTTCCAATGAACTCCAAAGAAAAGGTCATCTGGAAAATTGGGCGTCTTCAATAAATGGATTAAGGTGGTGGTTGACAAACCTTTGAAGAACTGCATGGAAAAAGATGCAAAGAAAGACATGCTGTGTTGTTTTTTTCCCCCACAGACTGACCTCTTTGGAGTTACAATAAAGCCAAGCTTTTTTCTTCCTTGTTTACCAGGTTCTATGAGAGAGAATAAAGAGAAAGATATTCGTGTTGATGAAAATGATGACAGATAAAATGTGTTTGAAGGCTATAAAAGCTCCTTACATCTGGAGCAGCTGGCAGCCTGGGATTGGACTCTAAGGGGAGCTCATAGATATCTAATTTGAGCAACGGTTAAAAGTAAACTTGGGAACAGCTGAGTCAGTGCAGTTATCTCTGGCTCTGGGAAGTTTTTGTGATGTTTAGAGGCTGGCACATAAAAATCCACATGACACATATTTGCTGAGTCTAATATCCTTATGAAAATGAACAGGGATGATTTACAGGAATATATTAGACACAGATGTTCTTATATAAACCAGGATATAACATGATATAGAAGGTAATGAGCCATTAAAATGGGCAGAAAATACTTGCTAATGTTTTAATAATTATGTACATTAAAATACACAAATAACATACAAATATCAGTGGCTTAGAAATCAATTAGATTAGATAAATTGTTAGTCATTCAGCAAATAATTATGGCCTACTACAAATAAGGCATCTTGCTACAACTCACAAGACACAGAATCTTTGTACCTCAAGTGTATTTTAGGATCATACGCCGGGGATACTGTCTCCAAAATGAAGAAACCTAGTACTTTAATAAAAGCAGAGATGGGGTGGGCCAGGGCCACAAAGCTATTTAAGCTATTGTGATTTTAAGCACTGGACTGATCTTCAGCTCAAATTCCACATTGGAGATTTCAGCAATGAGGAAGGGGAAAAGGCAAGGGAAAGTTGACAACTTAGTTGGATAAACTTACATGACAGGATTCTGATAGGATGGGTCTCAAAGCTTCATTAGGAATTTTCATTCCAAGCTCTGATACATGCTGCCCTCATGATGCTTAAAATCTAGAGAATATGATGAGCATACACAGACTTCTCTAATATGAAATGGTATGTGATACATGTGATATGAGTCAATAAAATAAGTACAGCTAGAACAGTAGCAGCGGGGATGAAAAGAACAAAATGACTGAAGAACCGTTGCTCAGGAAGAAGCAACATGAGAGTTTTTAAGATTGGTGAAGGTGGTCTGGTGTGGTGGCTCATGCTTGTAATCCCAACACTTTGAGAGGCCGAGATGAGATGAGTGGATCACTTGAGGTCAGGAGTTCAAGACCAGCCTGGCCAACATAGTGAAACCCTGTCTCTACTAAAAATACAAATTAGCCTGTAATCCTGGCTACTCTGGAGGCTGAGGAAGAAGAATCACTTGAGCCCAGGAGGTGGAGGTTGCAATGATCTGAGATCATGCCACTGCACTCCAGCCTGGGCCACAAAGCAAGACTATCTCAAAAAAAAAAAAAAAAAAGATTGTTGCAGGGGATGAAAGAAAAGTAAGAGGTGCAGCTCAGGATTTTGAATCTCTACTTGAGAGATAAGGAGAAAGGTGGTACTATTGGGGAGGATGCAAGGAAACGTGAGTTTGAAGTAGAGTTACAGCATGCTGAAGTCAATGAGCTGGCAGGGCTTCTGTGCAGAAATATCCAGCAGACCTTTGGAAATGCATAAGTGAAGGCTCTAAAGCAGTAACAGCACAAGGGTCACATGTTTGATTTTAATCTGCTTAGAAAGGATACTTGAATACATGGGTGAGGGTAGGAATATATGCAAAATAACACGGAGAGGAAAAGAAAATAGACCGGGATGAGCTGTCCATCTCACTGAAGCAGGAACCAATGCGGGAATGAAATAGTGATAAGGTTAATGAGCCATGTGCACTAACGCAGAAGCCGAGACAGGAAGGAGATCTGAGAAGAACTGAATGATTTGAGATATAAAATATACCTTGCAAACAAAGGAAGTCAAGGACTGAGAAAGTGCCATTTAATTTGGTCCTGTTGGAAGTAAATGCTCAGTGCCGCCAAGTGAAAATAGCACTCAGGCAAAAATTTTCTCAGCAAGGCAATTTACTTCTATAGAAGGTTGCATCTTGCGGATGGAGCAATGGCGAGAGCACACCGGACAAGGGAGGGGAAGGGGGTCTTATTCCTAACCCAGTAGTCCCTACTGCTGTGTCTTTTCCCTGTTGGCTAGGGTTAGACCGCACAGTCTAAGCTAATTCCAAATGGCTATTTTAAAGAGAGCAAGGGTACGAGTCAGAGTGGTGGGGTAAGTAGTTTTGGCGGGAGGGACAGTTACAGAACAGGTGACCAGGGATGCCTAAGGACAGAACAGGCGATAGAGGCTAGGAGGGGGTTGTTTACTGAAACTAGGGGCAAGGAGGGTAAGGAACGAGGAAGTCAAACTTTAAAATGGAGAACAAAGAACAGGGAAGCTGAACATACTGACATATTGGTTCTTTGAGGAGGAACTCAGAACTCATTGTACTTAACAATTTGTCTCTCTCTTGGATTTTAAAGGAAGTTAACAGGCTAAACTTTGAAGAGGAATTTACTGTATCCTACAGTCCATAGGATGTGATTGGTGCTATTCACACTTGAGCTTAGCCAGGAGGCTGAGAAGCAATGTGATTGGTGATGTTCAATGGAGAAGATGGTAGTAGAGCAAAAGCCAAATCGCATCTTAGCCTTGTCTATTGCGATCACCTCTCAACTGCACTTTCTACTTCTAACCTTTCCTTTCTTCAACCATCCTTCTTTCTACCCAAAGTTATCTTTCTAAAAGCCAAATTTAGTGATATCACTCCTTTGGTTAAAATGTTTTGATGGCTCCCATTGCCTGAAGACTTCAAAGTTCTCCCAATTGAGGTGACGCTCAACTGACACCTTTTGCTACAATCAACTCTATATTATTTGCCCTTCTTTAGCAGGTCCTAATTTTTAATACCTTTTGCCTTTGCTAATACTGGCCCTTCAAAATAAAATACCTCCTAATCTCTACCAATGGCCTCACAACCTATCTCAGGTATCTCCTCCTGTGTGAGGACACCCCTAATCCTGCAGGCAAAATGAATGCCTCCTTTCAATGCTTCCATAGAACTTTTCAGGGGTTGCTATTGGGTTATTATATCATGTTAACTAAATAATGATTTGTTTATATATCGTGTCTCTCCTAATGTGGTACAAAACATATGACAGTATTATATTCATTCTTATAGCCCCGGTACCCAGCATTGTCCACATATGTTGTCTTTCACTGCTTTTGAATGAATGAATGCATAAAATGGCTGCTAAAATATAAGATGTTTGGGAATGTAGAGAGCTGAGCATGTTTGAAGGCAGAACAGAAGGAATAAGTCAAGGGAAAAGATGGCTAACGCTGAGAGAGGGAAAGGAGGAGATAATTAATGAGCTACATCCCGAAGAAGACAGGATGAATGATATAAATAACAAAGATGGTGAAGTGAGACTTGGGAAGAAAAAGAGACAAATTGTCAACTGAACCAGGAGACCGTGGACAGGAGACCATAAGTGAATTGACAGTCATTGAGCCCCTTTTATGCACCAGGTACTGGGATAGGTTCTTTATGTATCTTTGCTCATTATGTAGCATTACAAGCCTTGTGACCTGTCCATTTACAGATGACCAGGCCAAATTGAAGGGTTTTAGAATTTGGTTTTAGTCACGGAAGTCAAGTTTGAGCCCTGGGCCGTTTTTTCCCAGTCTCCTGCTTTTTCCATGAAATAAAAATTGTCAGTGGTTGGAGGCCACACTAGGAGATCAGGAGGACAAGGCATTTTCAACGGTTAGAAGGCAAAATTAAAATGACTTAGAGTGCGTCTGGGCTGGGTTACTAGATAAGTGAAGCCAGAAGGCTGCTTACATTCACATAGGCATATTTTATCCTGCTCCTTTACCAGCTTGGGCTGAGAAAGAAAAGGCTACTGTTATGTTTTAGAGTTTGCAATAATCTTCTGAATGTTTCCAGCACATTCCCTTGGATTCAGAAAGACTGTATTAGATACTTTATTTCACAAATACCCATGAAGCACATGCTATTATGTGCTCAGTATGGGGAATTTCTTGTGAGATATCAAATAAGAATCAGACATAGTCCTTAAGGAAAAGATATTTTAATGGAGTTTTGATAGAAAGAAAATCACTATTCCATGAGAAGAATATTATACATGCTGTAAAAGTGATTCAAAGAAAAAGATGAGACAATAATTGATCTGAATCTAATGATATATTTGGAAGAGATTATGTTAAACGAAGAAGGCAGGATAGGCATTCCATCAGAAAGAAAGGAATGCAAGAAAGGAGAGAGGAGAAGCAGAGAGGGGAGGGGAGGACGGAAGGGGAGGGGAAGGGGGGAGGGGAGGAGAGAAAAGAGGAGGGGAGAGGAGAGGAGAGGAGAACACAGAAGATTGACTGTGAGGAACAGGAAGGTGATTCAGGGAGCCAGAGGTAGTCCAGTGTGTATCACTGGAAAAGGCTAAGATTAAACACCACGAGTAACGTGTACAATTTTGAGTTACAGGCTAAGATATTATTAAGATCCGTACCCAGCAGGCATTAGGGAGCCACTGAGGCTTGAAGAAAACTCCAATACAGGCAGTGTGATTTTACAGATTTGGGTCAAGTTTATTATTCAAGTAAAATCCTTCTGTGGCTTCTCATTGCTGTTAGAATAAAGTCTAAAATCCGTATCAGGCCCCTTCAAGTCATACATCACCTGGTTTCAACCTAACTCGATGCTGCTCCCAGCCCTCCCACCCCAGGGGTTTAACATATTCTGCTCCCCCTAAAAGACTCTCTCCCCTTCTTCCCTTGGGAAATGCCCCACTTTCTCTCAAATCTCAACATACACATCACTTTCTCAGGAAGAATTTACCCTCTGATATTCTAGGCTAGATTAGTGCCTCTAGTTATAACTTCAAGGCAAACTGTCCTTTCTAACATCGAATTAGAATTATAATTCTATAGGTATTTGGATCATTACTTGTTTAATGCCCATCTGCAAAATTAAACTGTAAATTCCATGAAAGCAGGAACTACGTAAAACCGGCTAATAAACATTATCTCCATGTCTAACACAGAAGAGTAATACATAAATCAGCTCAAGCCTATGAATGATTGAAGATGACTTATTTGATGTAAGGCCCTGAGATGAAAAGATAAGGAAGCTGTTGAGACATCTAGTAAAAGGGTTATTGAAAGTATGACACAAATAGAAATGGAGAAGTGTGTTTGAGATGTATTTTAAGAGTAGAAGCAGGCCAGGCATGGTGGCTCACACCTGTAATCTCAGCACTTTGGGAGGCTGAGGGAGGCCGATCACGAGGTCAGGAGATCGAGACCACCCTGGCCAACATGGTGAAACCCCGTCTCTACTAAAATTACAAAAATTAGCTGGGCATGGTGGCGCGTGCTCGTAATCCCAGCTACTTGGAAGGCTGAGACAGGAGAATCGTTTGAACCTGGGAGGCAGAGGTTGCAGTGGCCGGGATCGCGCCACTGCAATCCAGCCTGGTGACAGCAAGACTCCGTCTAAAAACAAACAAACAAAAAAAAGGTAGAAGCAGCAGGACTTGGAATTTATTGAATGGATTATGTCTAAGTAACTTGAGAGGCCTGATAAAAAAAAATTTAACATGTTCCATTGGTTTTCTATCTTTCCTGATTTTAAAGAAATCCTTTCTCAGGTCTGTTATAGTATCTCCCAATAGCCATTCCTTTTATCCTATGCATTCTTTATAGAACAGTCTAAAAATATTTATTGAGCACCTACTATGTGCCTGGCGCTCTTATGGGTGCTTGAACACATCAGCAAACAAAGCAAGCAAAGGTCCCAACATTCGTGGAGCTTACATTTTTGGCAGAAAGGTACAGAACCTAAAGGGTAAACTGCAGATATAAGCATATTATAGTATACATTCAAAGGCGGTAGGTATAGGAAAAAGAAAAGTAGAACAGTGTAAAAGGGATCGATAGAAACAGCCCAGTAGCACTACCCCAGTTATCTATAGCACATAACATGTATTAATTTTAAAAGCATCTCTCTTTTTTTTGTTTGTTTTACTTCTAATGAAACCCAGAAACGTTCCAAGTAGGCATTCAGTGAAATGTAATTGCTCTTTTTCTCATCTGTTTCTTGGAGATAAAATCCTCAAGGGCAGAGAAGAAGCAAGGTATCACAGAAGCAGGAAGAAAGCTCCTGGTTGGAGCTGGGAGCAAGAGTTCTGCACCAGCACTCTACACATCAGTTCAGGAGCTCTCAGCTCCTCTCCCAACTCAGCGCTCAGCATCTCAGCATAGTTCCTCAGACTTCTTTTTTTTTTTTCTTTTTTTTTTTTTTTTGAGACAGGGTCTTGCTCTGTGGCCCAGGCTGGAATGCAGTGGCATGATCTCAGTTCACTGAAACCTCCGCCTCCCAGGTTCAAGTGATTCTCATGCCTCAACCTCCCGAGAGGCCGGGACTGCAGGTGCCCACCATGACACCTGGCTAATTTTTGTGTTTTTAGTAGAGACAGGGTTTCACCATGTTGGTCAGGCTGGTCTCAAACTCCTGACCTCAAATGATCCACCCACTTCAGCCTCCCAAGGTGCTGGGATTACAGGCATGAGCCACCGTGCCCGGCCTGTTCCTCAGGTTTCTAACCAACTCCTTAATTTTGTTATTATATTTTCTTAGGCTGAAAATATTTTCTTAAGCTACTTTTGTGCTTCTCACTTTTCATCAGTTTCTTCTCTCTAAAAGTCTTTCATGGACTTACTAACCTACAGGAAAGCACTGGACAATGCATTTTATTTGTGGGTGAAAGTTATTTTAAATAACTAGTTAGCTACATTTAATTTTTCATTCATGAATTATAATTTTTCATGGCTTTCTGAATAGTATTAATAAAATTTGCATATTCATTCTAACAGTAAATAACATAATAAAAGATAATAAATATTTAATAGCTTTTCCTTAACTTTTAGAAAACAGTTGGAACAATTCAACTTGTTAAGACACTGTTTACTTAGAAACTTTCTCAAAGCAGAAGGTAAATATATTTTTTAATTGCTCATTACCTAAACAGTAAGAAAAGAATAAATTAACTTCTTCATTATCTTAGTCTACAGGAAGACTATTTTTTAAACGAAAGAACAGTTTGTTAAATAGATTCCAATTATTTATATAAGTTAAAGCTTAACTACAATAAGTTTAAAAGTCATATATTCAATTATTATTTTCATTTATTCCCAATAATGGAGTTATTTTGTTAGATTAAATGTCCTGATTATTTTGGCTTTGGGCAGACATGACTTTAATGTGTTTATAGGTTTTCAATTAATACATCAGTAATTTCCATAAAATTCTAGCTGCTTGACTTCTCCTTTAAAAAAAAAGAAGTTTAATACTCTTCATTTCTTCCTATCTGTCTGCCTCATTCATGTATATATTTATATTCCCCTCTGTCCCTGAAGGTATATAAATTGACAATCTCAATTCATTGATCAAAGAAAAAGTATCAGAAATGGACCCTATTCCTCAAAAGGCTTGCAACGTAGTAAGAGTGACAAAAAATAAATAATAAATTCAAAAAATAATTAAATACAAAAAGGCAACTTTAATAGGATGTTAACTTTGTTTCTTCTGCATATATTGAATTTTCAGATGAGATACTATCCCCACTCCCCAAAATAAAACAAAACCTGGGAGCAATGCCATAGGTGCCAAACCACCTCAAAGGTATGAAACAGACATTGAAGACTGACCCAGTGCGAGAGGATAAGAATTCCTTCGGGAAGTTGTTGGGGAGTTGTGGTACCATGATACCAGGCAGGGGAGTGTTTCCTTGTAAATTCCTTGTAAACTTAATTCAGTTGAGGAGGACTTAAGGGTAGCCACCCAAAATGTTTAGTGTGTGTCTTTGGCATCTCAGGAACCCAGAGACTGATGTCTGACTTTTCCAGCACCAAAGTGGTGGCCAACTGGAACAGAAAGAGCTGAGCTGGGAGTGAGCTATACAACCATCATCAGGTTCCTCCCCAGCAGAAGCAAAGCAGGTGTGTGTGTGTGTGTGTGTGTGTGTGTCTGGTGTATTGGGAAGAAAATATTAGAAAAAGATTGGAGGTTTTCGTTTGACCCTGAATTCAGCTTTTTAAAGCCAAACCTGAGGGGCCATTAACTTTTTACCTGAGAGTAATCTTGAAAAGTATGAGATTACTTGATATTTTTACCCCAAGTTCTGGAACTACAGTTTGTTGAAAGTAGGTTGAAAGGTGGCAGGAGAAGGAAATGATGACGTTGTTTCCTTCGGGTGCCCTTCCTAGTCCTGTTCATCAGATGAAGTGACACAATCGATCGGCATGAGGGACCACCAAGGTTGTTCACTATGAAATACAGAAAAATTTTTTTTTAATTTTTATTTTATTATTATTATACTTTAGTTTTAGGGTACATGTGCACAATGTGAAGGTTAGTTACATATGTATACATGTGCCATGCTGGTGTGCTGCACCCATTAACTCGTCATTTAGCATTAGGTATATCTCCTAATGCTATCCCTCCCCCCTCCCCCCACCCCACAACAATCCCCGGAGTGTGATGTTCCCCTTCCTGTGTCCATGTGTTCTCATTGTTCAGTTCCCACCTATGAGTGAGAATATGCAGTGTTTGGTTTTTTGTTCTTGCGATAGTTTACTGAGAATGATGATTTCCAATTTCCTCCATGTCCCTACAAAGGACATGAACTCATCCTTTTTTATGGCTGCATAGTATTCCATGGTGTATATGTGCCACATTTTCTTAATCCAGTCTATCATTGTTGGACATTTGGGTTTGTTCCAAGTCTTTCCTATTGTGAATAGTGCCGCAATAAACATACGTGTGCATATGTCTTTATAGCAGCATGATTTATAGTCCTTTGGGTATATACCCAGTAATGGGTTGGCTGGGTCAAATGGTATTTCTAGTTCTAGATCCCTGAGGAATCGCCACACTGACTTCCACAATGGTTGAACTAGTTTACAGTCCCACCAACAGTGTAAAAGTGTTCCTATTTCTCCACATCCTCTCCAGCACCTGTTGTTTCCTGAGTTTTTAATGATTGCCATTCTAACTGGTGTGAGATGGTATCTCATTGTGGTTTTGATTTGCATTTCTCTGATGGCAAGTGATGGTGAGCATTTTTTCATGTGTTTTTTGGCTGCATAAATGTCTTCTCTTGAGAAGTGTCTGTTCATATCCTTCGCCCACTTTTAATGGGGTTGTTTGTTTTTTTCTTGTAAATTTGTTTGAGTTCATTGTAGATTCTGGATATTAGCCCTTTGTCAGATGAGTAGGTTGCAAAAATTTTCTCCCATTTTGTAGGTTGCCTGTTCACTCTGATGGTAGTTTCTTTTGCTGTGCAGAAGCTCTTTAGTTTAATTAGATCCCATTTGTCAATTTTGTCTTTTGTTGCCATTGCTTTTGGTGTTTTAGACATGAAGTCCTTGCCCATGCCTATGTCCTGAATGGTAATGCCTAGGTTTTCTTCTAGGGTTTTTACGGTTTTAGGTCTAACGTTTAAGTCTTTAATCCGTCTTGAATTGATTTTTGTATAAGGTGTAAGGAAGGGATCCAGGTTCAGCTTTCTCCATATGGCTAGCCAGTTTTCCCAGCACCATTTATTAAATAGGGAATCCTTTCCCCATTGCTTATTTTTCTCAGGTTTGTCAAAGATCAGATAGTTGTAGATATTTGGCGTTATTTCTGAGGGCTCTGTTCTCTTCCATTCATCTATGTCTCTGTTTTGGTACCAGTACCATGCTGTTTTGGTTACTGTAGGCTTGTAGTAGAGTTTGAAGTCAGGTAGCGTGATGCCTCCAGCTTTGTTCTTTTGGCTTAGGATTGACTTGGCAGTGCGGCCTCTTTTTTGGTTCCATATGAACTTTAAAATAGTTTTTTCCAATTCTGTGAAGAAAGTCATTGGTAGCTTGATGGGGATGGCATTGAATCTATAAATTCCCTTGGGCAGTATGGCCATTTTTACGATATCGATTCTTCCTACCCATGAGCATGGAATGTCCTTCCATTTGTTTGTATCCTCTGTAATTTCATTGAGCAGTGGTTTGTAGTTCTCCTTGAAGAGCTCCTTCACGTCCCTTGTAAGTTGGATTCCTAGGTATTTTATTCTCTTTGAAGCAATTGTGAATGGGAGTTCCCTCATGATTTGGCTCTCTGTTTGTCTGTTATTGGTGTATAAGAATGCTTGTGATTTTTGTAGATTGATTTTGTATCCTGAGACTTTGCTGAAGTTGCTTATCAGCTTAAGGAGATTTTGGGCTGAGACAATGGGGTTTTCTAGATATACAATCATGTCATCTTCAAACAGGGACAATTTGACTTTCTCTTTTCCTAATTGAATACCCTTTATTTCCTTCTCCTGACTAATTGCCCTGGCCAGAACTTCCAAAACTATGTTGAATAGGAGTGGTGAGAGAGGGCATCCCTGTCTTGTGCCAGTTTTCAAAGGGAATGCTTCCAGTTTTTGCCCATTCAGTATGATATTGGCTGTGGGTTTGTCATAGATAGCTCTTATTATTTTGAGAAACGTCCCATCAATACCTAATTTATTGAGAGTTTTTAGCATGAAAGTTGTTGAATTTTGTCAAAGGCCTTTTCTGCATCTATTGAGATAATCGTGTGATTTTTGTCTTTGGTTCTGTTTATATGCTGGATTACATTTATTGATTTGCATATATTGAACCAGCCTTGCATCCCAGGGATGAAGCCCACTTGATCATGGTGGATAAGCTTTTTGATGTGCTGCTGGATTCAGTTTGCCAGTATTTTATTGAGGATTTTTGAATCAATGTTCATCAAATATATTGGTCTAAAATTCTCTTTTTTGGTTGTGTCTCTGCCTGGCTTTGGTATCAGGATGATGCTGGCCTCACAAAATGAGTTAGGGAGGATTCCCTCTTTTTCTATTGATTGGAATAGTTTCAGAAGGAATGGTACCAATTCCTCCTTGTACCTCTGGTAGAATTCCGCTGTGAATCCATCTGGTCCTGGACTCTTTTTGGTTGCTAAGCTATTGATTATTGCCACAATTTCAGAGCCTGTTATTGGTCTATTCAGAAATTCAACTTCTTCCTGGTTTAGTCTTGGGAGGGTGTATGTGTTGAGGAATTTATCCATTTCTTCTAGATTTTCTAGTTTATTTGCGTAGAGGTGTTTGTAGTATTCTCTGATGGTAGTTTGTATTTCTGTGGGATCGGTGGTGATATCCCCTTTATCATTTTTTATTGTATCTGTTTGATTCTTCTCTCTTTTCTTCTTTATTAGTCTTGCTAGCAGTCTATCAATTTTGTTGATCCTTTCAAAAAACCAGCTCCTGGATTCATTAATTTTTTGAAGGGTTTTTTGTGTCTCTATTTCCTTCAGTTCTGCTCTGATTTTAGTTATTTCTTGCCTTCTGCTAGCTTTTGAATGTGTTTGCTCTTGCTTTTCTAGTTCTTTTAATTGTGATGTTAGGGTGTCAATTTTGGATCTTTCCTGCTTTCTCTTGTGGGCATTCAGTGCTATAAATTTCCCTCTACACACTGCTTTGAATGTGTCCCAGAGATTCTGGTATGTTGTGTCTTTGTTCTCATTGGTTTCAAAGAACATCTTTATATCTGCCTTCATTTCGTTATGTACCCAGTAGTCATTCAGGAGCAGGTTGTTCAGTTTCCATGTAGTTGAGCGGCTTTGAGTGAGTTTCTTAATCCTGAGTTCTAGTTTGATTGCACTGTGGTCTGAGAGACAGTTTGTTATAATTTCTGTTCTTTTACATTTGCTGAGGAGAGCTTTATTTCCAAGTATGTGGTCGATTTTGGAATAGGTGTGGTGCGGTGCTGAAAAAAATATATATTCTGTTGATTTGGGGTGGAGAGTTCTGTAGATGTCTATTAGGTCCGCTTGGTGCAATTATTAAACCAAATAAAAGAGATGAGTGTGCATTGCAGAGAACAACACAATTTTCATGAAAACAAAATGAAAAAAGGTTGGAAAAGAGTTGGGGACCAGTTACAGAAAACTTTAGAGTTTGGACATCATAAAGTCTGGGGACACATTAAACTGTGGCCCTGTTGCCTAAAAAGTTCAGTGGATCATTCTGCAAAACTAATTAAAATCTGAAAATTGACTTTGAACATAGAGAATAAAAATACACTATGGCTTCAAATGCTCTGCATTTTCTTTAAGAAATTTTTATTAAGTGGCTTATCAAAGCCGATTATTAGCCCCCACTATTAAATATACCAAGTAAATCAAGATGTAAACAAACATATTAAACTACCATTTCATTAAGGGCACAATTTGAAAGTTAATTGGATAAGAAGTGAATAAAGACAGGAAAGGCAACAGTGTGAGTGAGTGGTTCAAAAGAAATGATAGCCTGGAAACATCATTTGAAGAGCAATACAGCGAGGAAGTAGATCAAAAGATACCGCTTCCCAGGAGTTTCTTGTGTCATTTTAAATAATTTTTAATATATGGAGGTAAGCATGGATCTAGGAACAGAATTTTGAACTTAAAATCAGTGGGTAAAAACTGTTGTTGTACCTAGTTGTACATCAAACTCCTGAGTATATTAACTGTACATTCATTATATGAGTATACTAATTTATGCTAATTGTTGGGAAAGACAGTCCCCCCTCAGTCTCTTGGGCTCTTACATGTCTTACTGGGTTTATCAAGAATGCAAAGCACTGACTGCTGTTTTCTGGGGCTATTTCTCAGGGTCATGTTTGCAGAGCAACCTAGAGAGATGATGTCAAGTCTCTCTCTGGGACAAAGAGCTTGTTTTCTTACTGCTTGCTTTAAAACCAATGGATTCCCCAAATTCAGTGTTACCTGGCTACAGGCAAACCCACTGTGCATATAGCATCCATCTCGTCCCTCCACATCACTCCCATGAGATCTGAAGAAGGGACAAAGGAAACAACACAAACATGATGATGCTCATGCTGCTGATGGACCTTTGAGTGTTGAAGTCCTTTGTTTCTGACCCAGGAGTCTTGTGTTTTGTGCCAGTTATCCATGAAGCATTAATTAGCTAGTTTACTAGCTTGTATGCAGGGTGAAATCTCAGACCTGAGAATCATCATTGATATGTGTAGTCTTTACCATGCACATGACTTCCCCTGGTTGGGTATATCACTCAAGAATATTCAAAATACTGTATTTGGAATATTATGTTATGCTACTAGTCTAATCATTCCTTACTTGTTGGAGAACTGTTCATTGTTAATGCCTCAAGGCAAATTAGTAACATGTATATACCTGAATAATTCAGAATCCTTTTCTTACTTTTTTTACATATTCATCTTTTAAATAAGCTTCATCAACAATTTCTCATCATTTGAACCTCCCAACTCTTACCCTTTTCACCAGTTTGTATTGGCTCTCTTTCTCCTCCAGAGACCTGAACACACAAAACACACAACTTGAATTAAAAATAGAGAGCTGGTCTGTTGGGGTTCTCTTCTCTACTCATACTGTGACATTGATTGCAACTTGAACATGTCAAGGAGTTACCTCAACCTTATAACAATATATAAAATAATAAATAGATGTGGCAACATAAAAATATTGCTATAATCTTATAAACGGCAGGTTGAAGTAAGATAATTATGAGGATGAATAGCCTTATTGGTGTCAAATACAATAGTATTTTCGGTAAGTGTGTGACAGAGCGTCTTCTATTCCTTTGCAACCAATAGTGAAGACTGGTGGAAATATGAACTTTTTCTCAGATTCATAAAGGCATAAGAAGAGATAGTGACATAATTATAATTATATTAAGAAGCATGGTTGATTGGTTGTCAGCACACTTACATTTAACAGTCTTGGGTGTTTTTACATGATAATGGCATAATGACAGTAATGAACTTAGAAGTTATTCTTAGCAAAGTATCATAGCAGAGTGCAATCGATTTCTGCAGAAGCTATAAATGCAATCTCCAACCTTATAGGTTATTGTAAATGCAAAGCACAAATTCTCATTCATAACTACTTAATTAAAGAACATTATTGGTTTACCTGTAATTGCTTTAATTTATCACAGTGTTACAATTTATAAGTAATGTGTGTTATTCTTCAGTAGTTTTATTGTAATTACACATAATTTACAATTCACATTACCGGATTTCTAATTAGCCCCTAAATATTCTTGGTTATAAAAATGAAAATACTATTTTAAGGAGAACAGGATAATTAACAATGTATTAAATCTATTGGCTGTCAAGCATTTAACAAACAATAAAGTCAACTAATTCAGGCAATTTAGATGATGGGTTATAAAATGTTATAAAGTTATGGAGTGCAACTTTGCCGCCATTAATAACACTGTTTCAAATTAATCTTGGTAGAACTCTGGTCAACATTTTATTTGGCAAAGCAACACATCCAGCATCTCCTTTTATGTTTGGGTGGATGGCACTGGAGAGGGACTGGTGTAGACATCAATCAGAATATTCCTAAACAAGCTTTCCTGATGTTACAGTTTCCAAGTTACTTGATTCAGAAGGTGGAATAGTGAAAATTTCAATCTATTGAATCTATTGTGATTCTAGAGATTGGGAAAGATAATGTGGTTAGCTTAGTAAAATCACTATTTTGAATTTTCTTCAAAGTTTGTAAACAGCCTTGTTTTGGCATGATGTCGCAGTAGGCCAAAGTCACATGACCTCACCCTTTCACTTGAAGATAACTAAAGAAAGACACATGGTGAGCCATAAATGTTCTATAGAATATGCAGCCACCTATACAGTGTGTTTTGAAAAGTCTTTAAAATTCAGTATCTTTTAAATAAACCTGAAATTTCTATTATTAGAAACAATCCTTGCGGTTAGGCATTGATCCAGAAAGCTTCCATAAATGCAACTATAGTATGTACAGTGAATGAAATATGAATGGTCTTTATCACTGAATTCACGAGAATTCATTTTTAGATGAAATATATCAGGCAAGAGGTAGAAGGGACAGAGAAAATACTGTCAGAAAATAAAGAAGAGAAGAAAGTTCTGTTGAGGCAAGAAACCCAGCTAAAGTAACATAAAACTATGTGTGGTAGGGTGGGGATATGTCCAGCAACCCAAAGAACCTTGTGACATTTCTGTATACCAGGACAGAATAGATCATTGAAGAAAATTGAGACTGGCATCCTTGCTTGGTAAGTTTGTCTAAGACCAACCATAAAATCTCCCTGCTAAGGTTTTTTGGGTTTTGGGGTTTTGTTGTTGTTGTTGTTTTAAATCCTGGTCCTTGAAGCTGTTGCATTTCCCTACCTTTAATGAAAATGGAGCTTTCTATAATTCAGAATAAAAATAATTGCTTATAACTTTTTAAATGGCATCAAAAGATATGGTCCTGGTGTGGCTGGCAAAATGGCCAAATAGGAACAGCTCCGGTCTGCAGCTCCCAGGAAGATCAATACAGAAGGCAGTGATTTCTGCATTTCCAACTGAGGTACCCAGCTCATCTCATTGGGACTGGTTAGACAGTGGGTGCAGACCACGGAAGGCAAGCAGAAGCAGGGTGGGGCATCACCTCACCCAGGAGGTGCAAGGGGTCTGGGAACTCCCTCCCCTAGCCAAGGGAAGCCGTGAGGGACCGTGCTGTGAGGAACGGTGCACTCCAGCCCAGAAACTACACTTTTCCCATGGTCTTCGCAACCCACAGACCAGGAGATTCCCTTGGGTGCCTATGCCACCAGAGCCCTGGGTTTCAATCACAAAACCAGGCAGCTGTTTGGGCAGACACCAAGCTAGCTGCAGGAGTTTTTTTCATACCCCAGTGGCACCTGGAATGCAAGCGAGACGGAACCGTTCACTTCCCCAGAAAAGGGACCGAGTCCAGGGAGCCAAGTGGTCTACCATCCATGGAACCCAGCGGATCCCACCCTCACGGAACCCAGCAAGCCAAGATCCACTGGCTTGAAATTCTCAATGCCAGCACAGCAGTCTGAAATCGACCTGGGAAGCTCAAGCTTGGTAGAGGGAGCGGCGTTTGCCATTACTGGGGCCTGAGTAGGTGTTTTGCCCCTCACAGTGTAAATAAAGCCGCCAGGGAGTTCAAACTGGGCGGAGCCCACCGCAGCTCAGCAAAGCCACTGTGGCCAGACTGCCTCTCTAGATTCCTGCTCTCTGGGCAGGGCATCTCTGAAAGAAAGGCAGCAGCCCCAGTCAGGGGCTTATAGATAAAACCCCCATCTCCCTGGGACAGAGCACCTGGGGGAAGGGGTAGCTGTGGGCGCAGCTTCAACAGACTTAAACATTCCTGCCTGCCTGCTCCGAAGAGAGCAGCAGCTCTCTCAGCACAGTGCTCCAGCTCTGCTAAGGGACAGACTGACTCCTCAAGTGGGTCCCTGACCCCCATGCCTCATAACTGGGAGACACCTCCCAGCACGGGTCGACAGACACCTCATACAGGAGAGCTCCAGCTGGCATCTGGCAGGTGTCCCTCTGAGACGAAGCTTCCAGAGGAAGAAACAGACAGAAATCTTCTTTGCTGCTCTGCAGCCTCGTCTGGTGATACCCAGGCAAACAAGGTCTGGAGTGGACCTCCAGCAAACTCCAGCAGACCTGCAGCAGAGAGGCCTGATTGTTACAAGGAAAACTAACAAACAGAAAGGAATAGAATCAACATCAACAAAAAGGACGTCCACACAAAAACCCCTTCTGAAGGTCACCAACATCAAAGACCAAAAGTAGATAAATCCACGAAGATGAGGAAAAACCAGTATAAAAAGGCTGAAAATTCAAAAAACCAGAATGCCTCTTCTCCTCCAAAGGATCACAACTCCTCGCCAGCAAGGGAACAAAACTGGGTGGAGAATGAGTTTGATGAATTAACAGAAGTAGGCTTCAGAAGGTGGGTAATAACAAACTCCCCTGAGCTAAAGGACTATGTTCTAACCCAATGCAAGGAAGCTAAGAACCTTGAAAGAAGATTAGATGAAATGTTAACTAGAATAACCAGTTTAGAGAAGAACATAAATGACCTGATGGAGCTGAAAAACACAGCACAAGAACTTCGTGAAGCATACACAAGTATCAATACCTGAATCAATCAAGCAGAAGAAAGGATATCAGAAATTGAAGATCAACTTGATGAAATAAAGCAGGAAGACAAGATTGGAGAAAAAAGAATGAGTAGGAAAGAACAACACCACCAAGAAATATGGGACTACGTGAAAAGACCAAACCTACGTTTGATGGGTGTGCCTGAAAGTGACGGGAAGAATGGAAGCAAGTTGGAAAACACTCTTCGGGATATTATCCAGGAGAACTTCCCCAGCCTAGCAAGACAGGCCAATATTCAAACTCAGGAAATAAAGAGAACACCACAAAGATACTCCCCAAGAAGAGCAACCCCAAGACATAATTTTCAGGTTCACCAAGGTTGAAATGAAGGAAAAAAATGTTAAGGGCAGCCAGCGAGTAAGATCGGGTTACCCACAAAGGAAAGCCCATCAGACTAACAGTGGATCTCTCTGCAGAAACCCTACAAGCCAAAAGAGAGTGGGGGCCAATATTCAACTTTCTTAAAGAAAAGAATTTCAACCCACAATTTCATATCCAGTGAAACTAAACTTCATAAGCGAAGAAGAAATAAAATCCTTTACAGACAAGCAAATGCTGAGAGATTTTGTCACCACTAGGCCTACCTTACAAGAGCTCCTGAAGGAAGCACTAAATATGGAACGAAAAACCGGTACCAGCCACTGTAAAAACATTCCAAATTGTAAAGACCGTCGACACTATGAAGAAACTGCGTCAACCAACTGGCAAAATAACCAGCTAGCATCACAATGACAGGATCAAATTCACACATAACAATAGTAACCTTAAATGTAAATGGGCTAAATGCCCCAATTAAAAGACACAGACTGGCAAATTGAATAGAGTCAAGACCCATCAGTGTGCTGTGTTCAGGAGACCCATCTCACATGTAAAGACACACATAAGCTCAAAATAAAGGTATGAAGGAATATTTACCAAGCAAATGGAAAGGCAAAAAAAAAAAAGGAGGAGTTGCAATCCTAGTCTCTGGTAAAACAGACTTTAAACCAGCAAAGATCAGAAAAGACAAAGAAGGGCATTATATAATGGTAAAGGAATCAATGTAACAAGAAGAGCTAGCTATCCTAAATATATATGCCCCCAATACAGGAGCGCCCAGATTCATAAAGAAAGTGCTTAGAGAACTACAAAGAGACTTAGACTCCCACACAATAATGGTGGGACACTTTAACACCCCACTGTCAATATTAGACAGATCAATGAGACAGCAAATTAACAAGGATATTCAGGACTTGAACTCAGCTCCTACCAAGTGGACCTAATAAACATCTACAGAACTCTCCACCTCAAATCAACAGAATATACATTCTTCTCAGCACCACATTGCACTTATTCTAAAATTAACCACATAATAGGAGGTAAAACACTCCTCAGCGAATGCACAAGAATGGAAATCATAACAGTCTCTCAGACCACAGTGCAATCAAATTAGAGCTCAGGATTAAGAAACCCATTCAAAACTGCACAACTACATGGAAACTGAACAATCTGCTCCAGAGTGACTACTGGGTAAATAACAAAATTAAGGCAGAAATAAGTTATTCGAAACGAGTGAGAACAAAGATACAATGTACTAGAATCTCTGGAACAGAGCTAAAGCAGTGTTTAGAGGGAAATTTATAGCACTAAATGCCCACAGGAGAAAGCTGGAAAGATCTAAAATCGACACCCTAACATCACAACTAAAACAACTAGAGAAGCAAGAGCAAACAAAATCAAAAGCTAACAAAAACAAGAAATAAGTAAGATCAGAGCAGAACTGATAAAAACACGAAAAACCATTCAAAAAACCAATGAATCCAGGAGCTGGTTTTTTGAAAATATTAACAAAATAGATAGACCACTAGCCAGACTAATAAAGGGGAAAAGAGAGAAGAATCAAACAGACACAATAAAAAATGATAAAGAGGATATCACCACTGATCCCACAGAAATACAAACTACCATCAGAGAATACTACAAACACCTCTAGGCAAATAAACTAGAAAATCTGGAAGAAATGGATAATTTCCTGGACACATACACCCTACCAAGACTAAACCAGGAAGAAGTCTAATCCCTGAATAGACCAATAACAAGTTCTGAAATTGAGGCAGTAATTAGTAGTCTACCAACCACAAAAAGCCCAGGACCAGATGGATTCACAGCCGAATTCTACCAGAGGTACAAAGAGGAGCTGGTACCACTCCTTCTGAAATTGTTCCAAACAACAGAAAAAAAGAGACTCCTCCCTAACTCATTTTAGAGGCCAGCATCATCCTGATACCAAAACCTGGCAGACACACAACAAAAAAAGAAAACTTCAGGCCAATATCCCTGATGAACATTGATGCAAAATCTTCAATGAAATACTGGCAAACCGAATCCAGCAGCACATCCAAAAGCTTATCCACCATGATCCCGTCAGCTTCATACCTGGAATGCAAGGCTGGTTCAGCATACACAAATCAATAAATGTAATCCATTACATAAACAGAACCAATGACAAAAACCACATGATTATCTCAATAGATGCAGAAAAGGCCTTTGATAAAATTCAACACCTCTTCATGCTAAAAACTCTCAATAAACTAGCTATTGATGGAACATATCTCAAAATAATAAGAGCTATTTATGACAAACCCACAGCCAATATCATACTGAGTGGGCAAAAGCTGGAAGCATTCCCTTTGAAAACCAGCACAAGACAAGAATGCCCTCTCTCACCACTCCTATTCAACATAGTATTGGAAGTTCTGGCCAGGGCAATCAGGCAAGAGAAAGAAATAAAGAGTATTCAATAGGAAGAGAGAAAGTCAAATTCTTTCTGTTTGCAGATGACATAATTGTATATTTGGAAAACCCCATCATCTCAGCCCAAAATATCCTAAAGCTGATAAGCAACTTCAGCAAAGTCTCAAGATACAAAATCAATATGCAAAAATCACAAGCATTCCTATACACCAATTACAGACAAACAGAGAGCCAAATAGTGAGTGAACTCCCATTCACAATTCCTACAAAGAGAGTAAAATACCTAGGAATACAACTTACAAGGGATGTGAAGCACCTCTTCAAGGGGAACTACAAACCACTACTCAAGGAAATCAGAGAGGACACAAACAAATGGAAAAACATTCCATGCTCATGGATAGGAAGAATCAATATCATGAAAATGGCCATACTGCCCAAAGTAATTTATAGATTCAATGCTATTCTCATCAAACTACCATTGACTTTCTTCACAGAATTAGGAAAAACTACTTTAAATTTCATATGGAACCAAAAAAAGAGTCCGTATAGCCAAGGCAATCCTAAGCAAAAAGAACAAAGCTGGAGGCATCATGCTACCTGACTTCAAACTATACTACAAGACTACAGTAACCAAAACAGCATGGTACTGATACCAAAACAGATATATAGATCAATGGAACAGAACAGAGGCCTCAGAAATAACACAACACATCTACAACCATCTGATCTTTGACAAACCTGACAAAAACAAGCAATGGGCAAAGGATTCCCCATTTAATAAATGGTATTGGGAAAACTGGCTAGCCATATGCAGAAAACTGAAACTGGACCCCTTCCTTACATTTTATACAAAAATTAACTCAAGATGGTTTAAAGACTTAAACATAAAACCTAAAATCATCAAAACCCTAGAAGAAAAACCTAGGCAATACCATTCAGGACATAGGCATGGACAAAGACTTCATGACTAAAACACCAAAAGCAATGGCAACAAAAGCCAAAATTGACAAATGGGATCTAATTAAACTAAAGAGCTTCTGCACAGCAAAAGAAACTATCATCAGAGTGAACAGGCAGCCTACAGAATGGGAGAAAATTTTTGCTATCTATCCATCTGACAAAGGGCTAATATCCAGAATCTACAAGAAACTTAAACAATTTTACAAGAAAAAAACAACCCCATCAAAAAGTGGACAAAGAATATGAACAACACTTCTCAAAAGAGGACATTTATGTGGCCAACAAACATATGAAAAAAAGCTCATCATCACTGGCCATCAGAGAAATGCAAATCAAAACCACAATGAGATACCATCTCACGCCAGTTAGAATGGTGATCATTAAAAAGTCAGGAAACAACAGATGCTAGAGAGGATGTGGAAAAATAGGAACACTTTAACACCGTTGGTGGGAGTGTAAATTAGTTCAACCATTGTGGAAGACAGTGTGGCGATTCCTCAAGGATCTAGAACCAGAAATACCATTTGACCCACCAATCCCATTACTGGGTGTATACCCAAAGGATTATACATCATTCTACTATGAAGACACATGCACACATATGTTTATTGCAGCACTGTTCACAATAGCAAAGACTTGGAACCAACCCAAATGCCCATCAATGATAGACTGGATAAAGAAAATGTGGCACATATACACCATGGAATACTGTGCAGCCATAAAAAAGAATGAGATCATGTCCTTTCCAGGGACATGGATGAAGCTGGAAACCATCATTCTCAAGAAACTACCACAGGAACAGAAAACAAACCACAGCATGTTTTCACTCATAAGTGGGAGCTGAACAATGAAAACACACGGACACAGGGAGGGGAGCATAACACACTGGGGCCTCCCAGGGGGTTGGGGGCAAGGGGAGGGATAGCATTAGGAGAAATAGCTAATGTAGATGACAGGTTGATGGGTGCAGCGAACCACCATGGCACCTGCATACCTATATAACAAACCTGCACGTTCTGCACATGTATCCCAGAACTTACAGTGTAATAAAAAATAAAATAAGAAAATGTGTGACTGCATGAACGTTTCTGAAGCCCAGTCAAACCCAAGGTTAGAAGTTCTTGAATTGAGCTTTAGAAAGAGTAATAAATATATTTTCTTGCAGTTATCAATCAGAAAATAAGATATGATCCTAAAATCATAAATTTTATTTACAGTTCAAGGCATATCACCATGACTGCCAATCATCTACTAAATGCATCTGCCTTGAAATTTGGTTGTCATGAATAAACTAGGTCCATTACACCAATTATACTCACAACCACGAACTGTTAATAGCACAAATCTATTCTATGAACTTTTGTCGTCTGATATTGAAATACCCACACCCCCATCCAGCACCATATTATATTCAGAGACGTAACCAAAGAGGCTTCCAAAGACTGTGGCCATTTCAAGCAAATCAAGGGTTAATAGGTCTATCTAGCATCTTCCATTAGTGGGTGTCACTGTGATGAAATTAACAAAGCCCTATTCTGAAGACTTTCCGGACCAGCTTGGAAGCATTTTGTGATAATGGTGCTCATTGTAACCAGATTTGACCTGTGGTTTAGTATCAGCAACTAAAAATGCAGGCATTTAACTACACTGAATTTAATTCTAGCCCAAACCAAGCTTTTTAGTCAGCCTACGATATCACAAGAAATATTGTAGAATTGAATAGTTAGTTGCATTCAATCAGACTCAATAGATTTTTTGTGTATTTTTAGGTGAGAAATGTGAAATTAAGGTGTATGGGATGTCTGCATTTCCTTCTCTTCCTGGCTATCTTTATTTAATATGCTCAAATCAGTTATTAGGTTATCAATGTGTCTCTATTATTTCTAGAAACAGTTTGATTAAATTGATTTTTCTATAGTAAAATTCCCCTTTCTGTGTGTGTGTGTGTGTGTGTGTGTGTGCGCGCGCTTTTAAATCACACTTAAACATACATAGGAATATGATGTTGGACAATGCGCTAATTGAAGTGAAGAGTTTAATGGACCTGATAGAGGGTAAGGACATGCCATACCTCAGTTGATTGCTTCTCGATTAGGACTCACATTGCTATCCCATTCTTCCTTTTGAGTATGACTTGAGTCTGTACAGTGCACTACATAAATGATTTTCCATGGCTTTTTAAAAGGCGGTGCATATTAATATTTTAAACTGAAGTAATTGCTTCTTGCTCAGCAATGGGTTTCATTTATGAGTGTTTATCCTCAGCAAATGGAAAGTATGGTTAATCTAAGTTAAAAATGGGTTCTTTAAATAGCTCTAATTACATTCTGTTTATATTTGTATGTATTAGACACTTAAGATTTAATCGGTAGCAGTTCTAACAAGCCATAATGTTTATTAGCTGGTTTTAAATTATTGTTATGGATGGGACTGGAATGAGAAAATAAGTGATTTGCCTACTATCAAACACAGTAAATAAAAGATGGACCAATGCTTAAAAAAGGATTTTTAGCATAACTTCAAATTTTAATATAATTTATGAGAAAGAGGTCATATTAGGTCAATTCTTTTTCTTTTTTCTTTATTTTTTAAACTCTAACAATAGAAAGAATGTGGTGTCTAATGGCATAAGATTAGTGGAATTTTTGTTTTCAAAAATTATTAAGATCCTAGTGTTCGAGTACTAGAAAAGAAGGGACTAAATTTTGCATTTTAATTCACATTTATTCAGAAGGAAAACTGACATGAGACATAACATGTTGATTTTTTAATGAAAAAAATTGTTTTAAGTTGATATGATGCTAGCTTGTCTATTTAATTTGCTTAAACTCTATATTTTGATTAACCAGAAAAGACTTTGTTGGATTCTGCTTCTTCCCTGAGAAATTTATCCAAGGACTTCCTCTAATCTTTGAAGAAAACTTCTGAATTACACATGGCTCACACATAGTGAATTAGGAAACTCACAGTCATTTTATTGACATTTAATTTTCAACTTGTTTTATTGTAATTTTCAAGATATGCAAAATGAAGTATAATTCAAAAGACAGTTTATTAATAATAACACCTGTATCTCTATGGAACTAAAAACATTTGTGATTGTTTTCAAAAGGCAATAGTATTCCCAGAAAAGAAGTCTGTAGAATTATTAGTGTCATTTTATAAATAAGGAAGATGAGACAAACATTACAACTTCTTTACAATGTGAAGAACGTAATCGTTTCATCTCCACCTTAAGCTCTGAGCTCTGTCCCTAGAGCTATAAGCCACCATAGCCTGCTAGGCTAGTTCTTCTTTTGCAGAAACTCTCATTCCTCTTTTGTTTTCTATTTCTGTTGCTACTTTCTAGAGGATGTCCTTGCTACCTTATGCCTGAAAATAAAGCCTTGCTAATTCAGTCTAGTCTCTCTCTGCCCAGCTACCGGGCATCACTATGGCACTTGTCCCCTTAAGCACCCACAATCATGCCACTCTTCACTCTCAAAGCTGCCAAGAGGTGACCTCTCTCTATTGGATACAAGCCCACATGGCTCATCTCTGCATGCCGGGCACTCCTGGATCCTGTGCCTTTACCAGGCCTTCCAAACTTACCTCCCAGTGGTCTGCAAAACTCTCGAATCCCAGCCAAGCCTCATGTCCATCTCAGGGTTTCCCTCCTCTGCACCGATGCCTTTCCATTTTCTTGAAGCGCACTCTACCGACATCGGGCCTTATGGAAATCTCCCCTATTCTTGAAGCCTCAGACAAACCTCATTTCCATTATAGTCGCTTTCCAGATCTGGGTTCCGAATGCATTTGTTTTATATCATTCATCTGTCATGTATCCTATTTACCTCATAGCATAAATCTTCATATCCTTGTTCATATCCAAGCTATGTAACTCTAGCTTGGCACATAATAGGTACTCCGTTCATATTTGTAAATAGATATTTATTACGGGATTAATGAATGTTGCTCAGTGCTGAGTGCTTTATTTTGCATAATTAAGAATCAGGGCTGGATGCAGTGGCTCACACCTGTAATCCTAGCACTTTGGGAGGCCAAGGTGGGTGGATCACCTGAGGTCAGGAGTTCGAGACCAGCCTGACCAATGTGGTGAAACCCCGTCTCTACTAAAAATACAAAAAAAATAAGCTGGGCATGGTGGTGTGTGCCTGTCGTCCCAGCTACTCGGGAGGCTGAGACAGGAGAATTGCTTGAACTTGGGAGGCAGAGGTTGCAGTGAGCCAAGACTGCACCACTGCCCTCCAGCCTGGGCGACAGGGTGAGACTCCATCAAAAGAAAAGGAATCAGATGTGAGAGTGGCTGATAGGTAATATTTGAATTAATTAATTAGTTAATTACTTTGTAGAAATTGTGAGTCATCTCTTTCGCCTACCCTTCACACTCTTTCAATAACCATTTCTTTCTATTCATCATTTCCTGATTTTGTCCTATGTTGGTGCAAGATGTTGGTGCCAGCCATCTGGGGGTGAACAAGACAGTCTTTGTCACCATGAGTAATAGTCTTAGAGAATAGCAGGGAAGACAAACACAAACAATAATGGCAGTGAAATGTGTTGAGCGTTATGGCTGAGATTGACAGGAAATTATGGAAACGAAGAGCAGAGGACCTATCTGGCTTAATCTAGGGGACAGGAAAGACCTCCCTGAGGAAGTGAGCTTTAAACCAAGACCCAAGGAAAGCCCAGGACTAAAACAAGCAGAAGGGGAGAGCAGCAGGCCCCTATAATTACCAAGGCCCCATGCTAGGCTCTAGGCGCAAAGGGGGAAAAGAAAACAATGTTTCCTGCCCCCCACGAAGCTTTCATAAATAATAAAACAATTTGCAATAAGCACTGTGAAGAAAGCAAGCAGTGTGTTGTTGTAAAGAGGTAACAAGTGGGGAGAATGCCATCTAATTACATACAGTGGCCAGAATAGAAATTTTTGAAGAGATGCCACCTAACCTGTGATCTGCAGGATAAGAAGGAGGTGGCCCTGGGCAAAGCAGGTATGGGAGCATTCTAAGCGAAAGCACCAGCGTGTGCAAAGCTCTGACAGTGGAGAAAACTTGGACCATCCAGAGAAGAGAAGGAAGGCCAAGGTGGCTGCAAAGCTGTCAGTAGAGGAGGTAGCCTGAGATGGGATTAGCAAGGTGGCCTTCCCAGACTATGGAGGGCCTCCTAGGCCAAGAGGAAGAGTTTGCTTTTGATGCTAAGTGCATTGAGAAACCATTAGTGGGCTTTAAACAGGAGAGAGGCATGACCCAGTTTATACTTTAAAGTACAACTTCTGCAAGAAGATGATTCCTAGCGAGGGAAGAAGAGGGGCAGGGCATCTAGGCTGATGGTAGCTTAGCCATCGTAGGAAGAGTGACGATTGAAGTGGGAGAATTCTACATCCATATGGGAAGGACATTGAACAGGACACATGCATTGGATGCAGGGGATGAACAAAAGAGGAATAAAGAACATGAGGACAGACGTGATCATGACTGCACGAAGGCCTTTTGCTAACTTCTTCCTTCTAAGCCTATTTCTTTGCCCCAGTGCTGCTTCACACCCTGGCACTACTACAAAAGCTGAGAACTTTCTTGAATTCTTTACTATAAATTGAGTTCAGAAGACCTTAGAACAAGCTTGGAGGAAAAAATATGTGAACTCTGATGAATGCCAATGTGACTTTCAGTCTTGAACCTGGCTGCTCAGTTGCCCCAGTCATCTTTCTCCCAGAGTGGAAAGTTTTAAAAGTCTCTTCAAGCTGCCTCCATCCCCAGTGAAGAGACCATGACCCCACTTAAGATGTGATTTTCAGGTGAGCCTGAAGAGATGCCTCTGAATTAGCTCCTCCCTTTTCCATCCAAGGCTCTGTGGCCCTTCCTATATCACCAAGCCACTGAGGATAGCAGCTGGGCCACACAACAGTTTCACCCCTTGCCGATTCTCAGTTTTTATCATACCTTGGCTCTGGTTGTATGAATAAGTAATTTCAAGTAGATCTTAATGTGGAACTAAGCTAGTTTGATTTCATGCTTGCTGCTACATGTGGCTAAGCTTATATTCTAGACATTATAACGTTTTATACCTAGAAGGAGCCTTAGCTGTCATGTTATCAGATGTCTTTATTATATAGATGAGAAAACCAAGATGTAGAAAGTTAAAGTCATTTGGGGCACGTCATAATACTCCAGAAAATCGTAACCTTTAGAAAGCTCTGTATTCTAATTCTAACCACATCTCTTACCAACTGTACTAATTAATTCATCTCTATACCCTCCTTCAATTTTCTTATTTTAAAACAAAGACAATAATTCCTACTTTGCAGAATAGTCAAGGGGATCAGAGATAATACACAACAAGCATATGATATTTACAAAACACTCAATAAATTGTCATTATTATATGTTCACTTTTCGTTGTCCACTGTTAAAGTGACAGTATCACTTAGTAGCCGATAAAGGCCTAAAACTCGTATTTCCAACCTAATGCTCCTTTTTATACACAGCATACAGCCTGATAGAAATTTTCATGAGTTCATGGACTCTTCCTCAGTCTATTTAGGAATAACAAACAAATGCATCCCCCACCTCGTGCCCATTTCGAGCCCTTTGAGAGTTTCTTGTGCCCTGGAGAATTAGGTACACAATTTGTAACTTTATTCAGCAGTGAAATGCCACTGTGGTCGCAAAAAAGCTAAAGCAATATTTCAACCCTAAGAACTAGGTCTGGCACCCAGAATAAAAGACTCTTTTAATAGGAAGAATAATCTATCAATTTTGTGAAAGGGCTTTTGGAAAAGGCTCAAAGTCCTACTGCAATATAAAACATAAATGGTACATTGTCCTAGTTTTTTGCTGGAAATTGTACGTTAGCACTAAAGAACAGAATTTCTTTTGCTTCAGTCTGCATTTTTAGAACATGCTATAAAGACAACTCTATTTTCTAGGGGTTAATAAGTAATGTAAGAAAAAAAAAGATGGCATGGATTAAATGAAGATAATAATTATAACAGTAATCTTGTGCACTTTTTCATACTTAAAGTATAAAAGAAAATTTGTTTCTACCCATGAAAGAAAAATCCTCTCCTTATTATTATTGTTCTATACACTTTCTAGAATTTTCTTATACTAAGATATGGTTATAATCCTAGTCCTGCAGGAAGGAAGGTATGTGTCTCTGTGTAAGAATGCCGGGAACTCGTTTCTGGTATCAGCCACTTGAGTGTGCTCTAGAATCGGCGTGTAGCCTGTCTGTTCACCAAAAAGGTGGTAGGATTCCTAGGAAAAGCTCCTGGAGATTTCAGAGTGATGTCCTCCATGGGAAACAGGCCAGGAAGATATAAATAAGAACCGCAGAGAAAGAGCTGTGGCTGTGATCAGCCTGTCGGTGTTTCAGTACAGTCAGGCGTGCCTGTGAACCTTGGAGAGAGGGCAAAACGGTAAGATCGGAAACTTGTGCCCTAAAAGCAAAACAAAATTGTTTTCTGGACCTCTTCCGTGATCTGTTTATTTCTCCACTTCTTTCTCTTAGTTTTAAAAGCTCCAATCATCTCAGCTGAACTAAGGGGAAGAATGTGTCTATTGTTGGACAGCTATATAAGGGGTTGGGGTGCGGGGCGCTCAGCACATGGCAGGGGCCAGGGTGAGTGGAGAATACCGCTTGATGAGAGAACCCCAAGGCGGAGAGGTGTCCGCTGCCTCCTCCAGGGTGAATCTTTTAGGGCCTTGGTTTTATTTTAGTCCTTTTATTAAAGCTAGTGTTCTTCAACAACCACTATTTCATTTCATTGCTTTAAATTATATTCTAAATATTCATTTCTTTTGCCCTGGTCTCCATAATAAAGACTTTCAAAATATCGTGACAAGCAATTGACTGAGTGGAGAAACACTGAAAGCTGGAGGAATTTAAGCAGAAATGCACGCTTTATGCACATGTTCTTTATGTTCTAGCTTAGATTCCTTCGGGATTTTTGCTGCACTATTTTGAAGCGAATCCATCAATAAAAAATAACAGTGATAATAATAACTTTGAAGTATGCTCAATGAAAATATAGCATCTCTGCATACACAAAGTGTCTTGTTTTTTATAATGTAAAGTTGGTCTGTCCCTTTAGAATATAAAATAAATAGTGCCAATCTCCCTTTTCTTCATGATCTGAACATTAAAATATTTTTTTACTTAGGAAATTTCAGCTTGCTTTACTAAAGGAATATTTCAAACATACAAGAAAATACAGATGTCCTCTAAACCAACTCATACAGTGTACACATATTTAGCTTCGCCAGAATCACTGATTCAATCAGTTATCTATTGAGTATTTACTACGCATTGAATCCTGCTCTACTGAAAAAAAAGTTCCAGTCCGGTGCAGTACATATGCTGTTAGGAGAACACAGGTAATAAATAATAACCATAATAAATAAACTATATAACATAATAGAAAATAGTATGTGTTACAGAAAATTAAAGCAGGGTAAAGGGAATTGTGAATCTCATGGCAGGATATGGTGATAAGACTGCAATTTTATGATAGGGTGGACTCATTGAAAAGGTAAATTTGTGCAAAGACTCCACAAAGGTGAAGTGAGCTAGGCAGATATCAGGAAACAGCACAAAGTCCCCGTGGTAGCCAGCCCTCAAGGTCAGTTTAGTGTGGCAGAGGAGTGACATGGCATATCTCTTCTTCTGAAATTTCACTGGGGCTGCTGTGTTGGAAATAGGGTAGAATTAGAGAAGTCTATGAGGAGAGTATTACAGTCTCCCAGGCAACAGTTAATGGCATCTCAAAACAAAGAGGTATCAGTGTTTGTGTTGGCAAGTGGTTAGATTCTGGATATATTTTGAGGATAGACCCATCTGAATTTCCAGATGAATTGAATACCGGGTGTGAGAAAGAGAAATCAATTATTTATTCATGGTTATCAGGCTGAATAACTGGAAAGATGGTGTAACCATTCCCCGAGCTTCAGAAGACTGCGAGAATGGGAATGGGAGGTGGAATCAAAAATTTAGATGTTACAAATAACTCTCAAAGGAGTTTGGAAATATTTACTCCTACTAGCCACGTATGAGATCATGTGTATCCCTCCATCAGAGTTCACTTCTATAATCTGAAAACTCGTGTCTTTAAATTCAGAAATACCCACAGTCCTTATCACTCAATACCACCTCTTCCTCATTCTCTACTCTCTCTTTCCAGAACTTTTGTTTGATGTTTTTTTTTTTTATAGCTATTTGGCTCTATTTCATCTATTATTACTTTTTCATTTCACTATGCTGCATTCTGGATGACTTCCTTAAATATCCCTTTTAAATTACAGTTCTTCCTACCTGTTGCCTGATCTGCTATTAAGCTCATTTGCTTTTTATTTCAATGACTATAATTTTCACTTATAAGGTTCTATTTGGTTTCTTAGATCCACCCATTCTTTTCTAGATGGGTGTGTTCTTTCTATCATTTGTTTTATCGCTTTAGTTATTTTAACTGAAGTTATTTTCTCATTTCTTTCTTAGCCTTACATTATGTCAATGACTTCAGATGCTAATTCATCTTTTCTTTTCATCTGATCACTCCCTCTCACTTGTGAATGATTTGCTTTCATCATTTACAGTTTTGTTGTTGTTGCTGTGGGGTTCCCGAGGGTGAGGAATATCCCTTGTGCCTGGGTTATGGACATGATTCTAGAGGTTTGGTTTTACCTTTTCTTTCCCTGCCAGCTCCAGTTGTTTCACAGGACTGACATGAGTGTCTCATGAATTGGAATGAGATTGTCCATATCATAAGTAAATATTTTAAGTTTGATCCCCACATCTGCATGTTGAAGAGGCTTGGAGTTAAAATTTCTCGCAGGAGACGCTTCTATCAGAACACCTAAAAAACAACAGGCTTCCCTGCCTCTCCCCTGGATAATGGACAAAAATTTCCACAAAAGAGGCAGCCCTTCCGGTGACCTGCTTTCGGCCGTGATCTTGGTTTCTGATGCCTTCCTGTGTGAGGACTCAGGCCGCCTCTTCTGGCCTGAAATGGACAGTCACTTCCTAATCTCTGCGTGCCAACTGGCACCAATTTGGTATTACCCAAAGGACTTTGGTATCAGTTGAAGATCTCTTTCTGTTTTTTTCACCTAGAAATTTCCTATTCTTTCTTTCCAGCATTGCTATGATGTTGGGCCTTTTTTTTTTTTTTTTTTCAATTTTTCATTACCTTTTATCCAAAATTATCAGTTTGGAGTTAGAAGCGGTTAAATAAGATTTGTGCAGCCGGTGGTGATATCTGATAATCTCTGTGACATATGAGGTCCTTCAGGCCTTCTAAGTGCCTAAAGGACCACTTACTTTCTAGACTGAAGAGAGGCCCAGAGTCCTGAGTGAGGGACCAGTGGGGTGGCTGTTTACCAACCAACACCCAAGACTTTCTTAGCCATCAGGGCAGCTATGTGGATGTGTATCAGCCAAATATCAGACTGCATATAGTGAGTTTTCTTTTCTTACTGCTCTCTGCACATAATTCATATTGTCATTTACAGCAATTAGATAAGGAGCTCAAAGGAAAAACACTACCCCGGGGATAAAAGACTGGGAAAAAATATTTGGCCATTAAATTATTCAAAGCAACATGAAACTATCTTAAAGTCTATTTAGATTGCTTTGTTTCATGAAATGAGGGAGAATGGAAAAAAATATTTTTAAATCTGAGAGTCAATTTCATGTCCTTACTCTGGTACAAAATAAAATACATATTGTAAAGGTACTTAGCATTATAGTTACTCACATTTTAATTAGTTCCAGGTACTTCAACATTTAATCACAATTTAAAAATCATTATATTCATACCTTTGATAATAGGTTAATAATATTGACATTGGCACTTATTTTCTAGAAATTATAAAGACAATCTTGGCATATTCAAAGAGGCACATAGATTATATCTGTAAGAATTGCCATTCAAATATTTTGGGAGTAAAACACCTTTTGAACAAACTTGTGTTTTATGTCTACAAATGTAATTTTAGGGCAAAGGAAGGGTTTTGGTATGCAGGCTTTTCTACCTCCTGAAAGTGGTAGAGTCCCTGGATCCCGGGTAGATTGTAACAACCTGTGTATTTGAGCATAGAAGATTTATAGATTAATGTCAAGGTTCTCAGTGATGCCTAGAGTTAGGCATTATGTTTGCCTTGCCTTGGAAACTACTTAAAAAGACCTGAGCTGGGTAGTTTCTATGTGTCTATTATTTCCAGCCTTTAGCCAATCAGATTACAAGCAGGGGAGAGTAGAACAGGAGGTTGGGTTCATTCCGATATTTCCAAAATTTTGTCAAAAATTGTTTCTGACTCCAAAGATTATTCTTCCAGCATTAGTTGGTTAAGAAAATGCTTAGTAACAAAAATTTACTATTATTTCAGTGATTGTGGTGGATGAATGTTCATTTCCATGCCAATTCAATATATATTTGAAAAATAGTGGTGTATGCAAGCTGTTATTAATTAAATTCACTTATTTAATCTGTTTCTTTGATGCATAAACAGATTCTGGGAATTGCTTGTGACACCTCTTTGCCCGCCAGAATCTGGAGTTAAATGCTGAAAACTGTTGTTCCACAGACCGTAGAAGCAATTGAACACATATGCAATTATATGCAAAGGCTTTTGCATATAATTCAGCTGTAGTTCAGCTTCATCATAGCCTGATCAGCTGACACAGCAATCACCCCAATTATTCAATTTTTTGGTCTGACACGTTTCCGCAGGGCCCACAGCCTGTGATGTGGATGGGATAACAATCATAGTAACTCAAATTATAGCTCTTTCTCTATCTCGCCACACAGAACCTCAACCTCCTATAAAATATCCTTAAATTTCTGAGAGACCCAAGCTGTGTGTCTCTCATGCTCACTAATAAACTTCATCCCACAGAACTGGTTTTGTCCAGTTCTGTCAGTTGTACAAGTCCTTTTTGTCTCTAGGCACCAGGAGCAGGTATTAGTCAGGATTCTCCAGAGAATAGAACCCAGTAGGATCTATAGGGATATATAAAGGGGACTTGTTATGAGAACTGGCTTGCTGGATTATGGAGGCTGAGAAGTTTCATGATCTGCCATCTGCCAGCTGGAGCCCCAGGAAAGCTGGTGGTGCAATCCCGTCTGAGTCTGAAGAGGGTGGGACACTGATATTATAGTCTTGGGGGGGTCCCAAGTCCTGAGAACCTGGAGCTCTGATGTCCAAGGGAAGGAGAAGATGGATGTCCCAGCTCCAGAAGAGAGAATATTCACTCTTCCCCTGCTTTTGTGTTCTATGTTGGCCCTCAGCGAATGGGATGTTGAGCACCCACACTGGCGAAGGGGGATCCTTTTCACTCAGTCCCCTCCATTCAAATGCCAACCTCTTCCAGAAACACCCTCACAGACATGCCCAGAAATAATGTTTCACCAGAGATCTGGGTATGCCTTGGCCTGCTCAAGTTAAGACATAAAATTACCATCACAGAGAGAGTATAGGCCTGTTCTTCGTTCTGCCCTCTGACTAAAGCCATCATCCTGCCTGTGATGGCCGGAGCCACCGTGCCCCTCTCCAACATAGGGACAATGCCTGACTGCCCACTCTGGGCCACACCGTGCCTCTCTGTAACCTTTGTGTGAACAGCTGCTTGCCTTGCCGCCAACGGGCCACCCTCCTAAGTGTTTGCAGACAGAGCCTGGGTCCCCAGGCAGGACAGACACCATCCTGTCATTGCCACCACACCCCTGCAGCACCTGTGTACAAACGCCAGCCTCCCTCCTTCCTCTTCCACTTGAAACAGAAGCCTAATTGCAAAACTATTCCACGGAGCCCTCCACTTAAACTGCTCATTTATCTGTCAGGTGACTGAAACATGCTTGCCTCTCAGGGAAGACACTGTGGTTGATCTGATATTGCAAACTGTGAAGAAAGTTTTCACATCTATTTGCCCACCACGACAACCTTAATGTGATGAAATTAAAGGGAAACTACCACTTCACTTCCGGTTTGGGGAGGGAAGTAATTTTGAGAAAGGAATGTGAATGGCTTGTTTCAACAGGGAAAGATAAGCAATGTAGGGCTTTGGAAAGATGTATAAACTACAGACGGCAGCAACTTAAAATTAGGGGTTAAGAATGGGCTGCTTAGCTAACCCCAAGAGGCAGTATATATTCCTAGAAACAAGGGTAAAACTGCCTGAGAATCATCAGAAGAGGCGAATTAAAATAGTAATTCAGAATAGAGTGGAGAACAGCACATAAGCAGGAGCGACTGCTGCTTTCATCCGAAGAGCAAGATGGCCGCTCGGAGCACGTGGGGACGTAGGAATGTTATCATGGTTGGAAAGATTGTTCTTTCCTCATTCACATTGTGAATTGGCCTAAGGCTATTTAACGGACAAGAGCCCCTGCTGTCCTCAATTTTAGTTCCGATTGCCTGCCCGAGACTTCTTCTGTACAACTTCCACCAGCAGGTAACTTAGTCAATCTGCTTGTGTATGAGGTTGGGGCACCTCCAACCTCATATACAAGCAGGTTGACTAAGTGGAGTCAAGCAGATCAATGAAACGAAGCAGTTAAAAGTCTGTTCTCATGTTGATAGAGCACTGGCTTTTTATATTTCGTTAATTATCTACAAAATACATAAATAATATCTGTAAAACATTTCCAGTACAACAAAACAGAAGTTTTCCTTGACTCTTTCCCAAAGGTAACGAGGGTAATCAATTTGACTGGTAAATATCAAGACATTTTTCCTATGCCTACGTATACACTCACACAAGCACACGTGCACATACACACACACCCACACAGTCTGGAGAAATATATATACACACATATTTTATTGTTCCTTTCTGTGTGTGATCATTTTAAACTTTACATATACAAATAGGTCCCTATTGTTCCATAACTTGGTCTCTTTTCCTATTTATCATAAAGATAATTCCATGTTGCACACTTTTGTTCTTCTTCATTATTCAGTTTACGTGAATGTCACCGATTGAAGGAAAATTAGGTTGTTTTTATTTTTCACCATTATAAATGATGATGCAGTCTACACCCTCATACACACATGAATATATCTCTAGAATATATTCCTGGAAGTAAATGACCAAGCCACAAGTGATATACATTTTAATATTTACCAGCTACTGCTCAGTTTTTCTCCAAAAGTCTAACCAAGTTACACTCACATCAACTGTGTATGACAGTACCCACATAAAAATACACCCTTGCCAAAAATAGATGTTATCTTTCTTTTTACCTTTTGGCAACATGCTAGAAGGATATCTCACATCTCAGTTTATCAGAATCCACTCATCTTTCAAGACGTGGCTCTAAGGACACCTCTTTCATCCACACCCTCCCAGAGCCCCTGAAAGTGGCTCCCTACACCTCTGAATTACTGCTAATTTGTCCAAACCTCTCATTGCATTCATCACATTCCATTTTATATTATACTTATCATTAGTGTGTATTCTAACCTCTGGGTTGAGGGCAAGGCCAAAGACCATGGCCAATTTATCTTTATATTTATATCTCCCCTAGGTCCTTATTTTAGTGGCTTTTACATTGCTGGGAGGTAATAATTTGTAAAATACACAAATACAAGAAGAGAAAAAAGAATGAATAGAGTTCTATTCTAAATGAATCATATTTTATAAAGAATTTGTGTTACGTGTATTTATGATTTATTCTGAGCAAACTCAGAAGGCAGTGGGTATAAAAAAGGATAATCAAGTCGGGAGAAAATCTCATAGAAAATCCACTCCTTGGTTCATGTCTGATTTAGATGGAGAAAAATATTTGACTCCAACTCACAATTCTTTTATTCTTCCTCAGTGTAATAAGCACTATGGTTACATCAGAAACACTGAGTTCAAATCCCATGTAAATCACTGACCGTGTTTGTGACTTAGGAAAATTCATTAAGATGCTCAGAGCTTTGACTTCCTCATCTATAAAATGGGCTTCATAATAACCATCCTAGCCGCAGGATAATTATTTCTTTTTACCAGAGTTGTTTACTCAGTGCCTACTGTGAGTCAGGCACAGAAGCTATAAACATGAGTACATTGTGGGAATCACACGAGACAGTGTATGTAAACACACTTTTAAAATAATAAATTGATATATATGGATGAGGAAGTACTATGCTACGTACACTTGTGACAAAGTCTATTTTGCTATTTTTAAAAATGCAAAATTGAGTAACTAACTGTCTTCTATTGAAAAATTTCATTCCATTAGAAAAGACAGATTTATTGTTTTAATAGACAGGTTTTATGATTCACAAGCTAGATATTTTCCTAGACTTGTGATTGGTTTTTGTTCAAAAACCTATGTGAGCGCTGGTATTTCTACAATCTGTCTCTATTCTTCCCGTTTACTCTTTCACTAACTCATTCATATTCTTAAAGATGGTTGATAAAATAAATCAGTGAAGATACTGAGGAGTGTTACCATTCTCTTCTTTATGTATTAAACGTCTCATTGTATATTTGAAAAATGTTACTTATAAAGTTACAGCAAAATTCAGTTCATAAATAAAATAGAAAATAATGAGATCTTACAGATAGTTGCACCTATTTTGATGGGAAAGTCTTTGCTCCTCAAGTTCTCAAGAGCCAAAAAAGAAAAAAAAAATGCCCTTTTTGCTCTAACATGTTGACCTTTGAGTCTAAATTAGTGCAGTATCAGTGGCAAAATCTGAACTGTAAAATGAATCTGTTCGGATTAAGGGTTTAGCTGTTGCATGGCTAAATGGGTCAAGTTCTCTTAACTGATGGATTTATCTGATACCACCCCAAAGAGGAAAAGTTTAGATTCAAACAAACCGGCCGGCTTTCAATATTTCTAGTATATCACACTTTTTCCATGAGACTCACAACCTCTCAAGTTTGGGAAGGGGAAAAAAAAATAAATTCATACTTGCAGCTTCTTCTCTGAGACAGCCTTAGTAAAGAAAAGCGAGCACTCACTCTCAGGGAGACACAGTTTTATTTGGTAACTGAAGTTTGAAAACTATAACCGGTACCACTGATTTGCCTTCAGCCATGCAATAATTTATTCCAATTTCTATGGAGGTTACAAAACACACTTAACTCTTAAGGAGAATATGAGGTTCTTCATTTGCCAAATTTAATTCACGGGGGGAAAAAATAGAGACTATAATGCTTCTATTGGTTGTATATAGAACATTTTAATAGGATAAGCTGATATAAAACGAATTTAATTTCTTGTAACCTTAAGAATAAGGAAATGCTTAGACAAATTTATCAGCTGGCATACACAGCCAATAAATTATTTTTTATATAATAGAAAATAATTTTTTCTGTTTTTAAGATGGAGTCTGGCTCTGTCACCCAGGCTGGAGTTCAGTGGTGCGATCTCACCTCACTGCAACCTCCACCTCCCAGGTTCAAGAGATTCTCCTGCCTCAGCCTCCTGAGTAGCTGGGATTACAGGTGCACGCCACCATGCCTGAGTAATTTTTGTATTTTTTTAGTAGCGACAGGGTTTCACCATGTTGGCCAGGCTGATCTCGAACTCCTGACCTCGTGATCTGCCCACCTCAGCCTCCCAAAGTGCTGGGATTACAGGTGTGAGCCACCGCGCCTGGCCGGAAAATTATGAAAGCCTTTGTCTGAAGAGAACTAGATTCTCTGGTGGCTGAAAAGTACCCCCACCCCCACTGTCTTCACCCCAGTGCAAAGGAAAGTGTGGATGAATGCAGATTTTCCCATTTAATTTCCACAAAGTATGTGTTCTCCTGCCTGGGTTTATATTGCTGCCTAATGAAATAATCAGCTAGTATGCAGTAGGGGAGTGCTAGTGCAGGAGGGGAGGAACCATCCTAAAAGGTCTATTATCCTGTCAATATGTGCACAGGACTCTCATTAATGTTAATTAGATTTACCCGCCAGTACAAAGGGGAGGCTAGACCTTAAACAGCAAGTTTGAAAAAACTGATCTAGCAATGCCAGACGTAGAAAAAAATTAGAAATCATTCCTGCCTCCAAGCAACCTTAACTCATGTAAAAGACATTTATGTGGCCATTAACCCAAGCAGAAATTGAACTTGTCAGCATTACATGCAGAATGTATATATGGGTAACCGTTCATGAGCAATTCCTCAAATGAATTAAATACAAACTGGATTTATTTCTAGACAGTAGAGGTACTCTGTCCATCATCTTCTTAATAGAACAACTGCAAAAGGTTTAGGTTTTATAGACCTTTTATTCATGTTTGCCTTTAAGGCAGAAGACTAGGGATGGAAAGAAAGAACTGCTGTTGAAGATTTGGCTTATGAATGAAACCAAAAACCTAGGGTCATCCTTGTCTTCTCTCTTTGTCACATAGCACATTTCCAATCCATCTGCAAATCCTATTATTTTCCTCAAAATCAATTTGAAATCAGACCTCCCTTTCTTTCACCTGCACCTCTACCACCCTGGCCCAACTCAACATGTGTCTCACCCAGATTATTGTAAGAGCCATAACCTGGACCCTATTCCTCCGCATGAAAGCTAGAATGTCCCTTTTAATATGAAAGTCCAAGCCTGCCATTCTCTACGTATCCCCTTCAATGGCTGGCCATCTCACTCAGAGTGAAAGCTTCACAATGATCATCACAATGGGCCTGCCCTCACCCACACCCTCTCTGAGTTCACACCCTCCACGTTCCTCCTCAGTCCTCCTCAGTCCTCCTCTCAAGCCCCCTGCCTCCCTGGTGGTCTATGGTTGTGCCAAGTGACCTCTGACCTCCAGGTCTTTCCACTTGTTGTTCCTCTCCCTCAAATTCACTTCCTCCAGGCCTCTGCACAGCCACCTCCTCGGAGAGCCCATACCTGACCATCCTAACTGAAATAGCAACCTCACTTTTTCTCAGGTCTCTGAGCCTAAGCCAAGCCATCACATCGCCTGTGACTTGCACGTATATACGCAGATGGCCTGAAGAATCACAAAAGAAGTTAATATGCCCTGCCCCACCTTAACTGATGACATTCCACCACAAAAGAAGTGTAAATGGCTGGTCCTTGCCTTAAGTGATGACATTACCTTGTGAAAGCCCTTTTCCTGGCTCATGCTGGCTCAAAAAGCTCCCCCACTGAGCACCTTACGACCCCCACTCTGCCCACCAGAGAACTCCCCTTTGACTGTAATTTTCCTTTATCTACCCAAATCCTACAAAATGGCCCCACCCTTATCTTCCTTCGCTGAGTCCCTTTTCGGACTCAGCCCGCCTGCGCCCAGGTGAAATAAACAGCCATGTTGCTCACACAAAGCCTGTTTGGTGGTCTCTTCACAGGGACGCGCATGAAACTTTTCACTTCCTGTATTCCCCCGGCCTTTTCCTGCTATAGTTTGCTCCATTGCATATTAACACCATGTTACACCATATTAATTGAACATTTATTATGCAATTATCTGTCCCAGTTGAATGGAAGCTCCATGAAGGCACTTGGTCTGGGTCCCTGCTGTTGGCCCAGCACCCTGGACAGTGCCCAAAACACAGTGGACACTCAACAAATGAAGTAAAATATTGTTGTGCTCATTGTGGGCACATTGTATTCATGCACTGTTACTAACAAACTGTGAATCCATTTTCTCAACATCTGAAAAATTCTCCAAACTACATTAAGAGATTATTTAAGAAGATACAACCAGACACAGTTGCTCATGCCTGTAATCCCAGCGCTTTGGCAGTCTGAGGCAGGAGGATCACTCAAGCCCAGGAGTTCAAGACCAGCCTGGGCAACATAGTGGGATCCTGTCTCTACAAAAAATAAACAAAATTAGCCAGGCATGGTAGCATGTGCCTATGGTCCCAGCTACTCGGGAGGCTGAAGCAGGAGAATTGCTTGAGCCCAGGAGGTGGAAGCTGCAGTGAGCCATGATCACGCCACTGCACTCCAGCCTGGGCAACAGAGCAAGATCATATCTCAGAAAAACAAAAACATCAACAAACAAACAAATAAAGAAGATACAGCCATAGATCAGCTTTAAAAATCTTAATTTGGATAATGTTATTTTTCCCAGTTTTCTTTATTAATTTCCCACATTGGATGCTTAAAAATATCTTTTGCACTCAATGCCTTTCATTCTTCAGTGTCTTACTTGAAGCCCACACACATTTTTTTTCTTCCACTCCAAGTTCATTGAACAAAAACTTGCATATGGGTGACAGCCTCTATTTTACTTTTGTTAACCCTGGACCTGTCTCAAAATCAGAGTCGCAAAGAGAAAAGAACCAATGTCTTCTAGAGCATATCAGAAGTGCTAGAAACAGGAGCTTTAGCATGAGTGTACAGACCTGAATTATGCAACCTACTGGTTTTTACATGTGACATGTTGACAGAGGTTGACACTTGGTGAGTACCGTGTAGTTGTCAGCTGGCATTAAGACTTGCAGTTCATTCTGTAGTCAAAATAAAGGAAGAACGGCAAAGTCCATATTTGAAATCCACACTTCAGGATCATGGCAGCCTACAGCATTTCTGCTTTATCTACAGTACCCAGTGCCCCTCTGCTTTGCTGTGCTTGGAGATGGACACATGTAAACTCAACAAAGATATCTATTAACTGTT